>NW_021160001.1:0-292944 GCF_000001405.40 Homo sapiens | reverse complement strand
GAATTCTACCTCCAGACTGCCTTTGCACTCAAGACTACAATGTCAGCTTTTCCCTGGGGTCTAACCTGCTGGCCTGCCCTGCAGATATTGACTTGCCAGTCCCCACAATCATGAGTCAGTTCTTTAAAATAAATCTTTCTCACTGTATATATACAGCCTATTGATTCTATTTATCTAGAGAATCTAGAGTAACAGAATTTGGTACTGAGAGCAATAGAACAGAATTTTAAGGATGAGTTTTATGAATTACTTCCCTAATCTGATAAGATGTAAAGGCATTAATGACTTTTCAGTAGTGAATAGAGTATTAATAATTCATAGTGTAATGTGACAGTAGAGATATGCAAAGTATTGCCATTAGGTAATCCTATTCAGACATTTACAAGAAGCAAGGTTCTGGGCATCTGTATTTGATACCTTAGAACATTTTTGAGTTCTCATGAGAACAATGAGATTGGCTAGTTACTCCTAATGTAGAGAAGGAAAGGATGATCTTAGGGATTAAATTTCCCAGCTCAAGTGCCGCATGAATAACCCAAAAGTTTCTCTTTCTGCCCTGAAAGAAACTCTTATATTTTATAACAACAAAGCTGAGATTATTGAAAACCAAACCCAAAATCTCATCCTGAAAATGGCTGAATTACAGTGCAAATTGAATCCCCACCCTTTTAGGGTGTCTGCTGTTAAAATGAGGGCATTAACTGAGAAGGAATGGGATCTTGAAAACTGGAGTGCAGACATATGTGAAGAGCCTTATAAAGCTGGGTGTATCGAACCCCTTGACCCTGATGAGTCTTCCTTGCCAGTAAAAGCAGCCATGCCACCCCCATCTGAGGAGATTAATGCTACTTTACCTGAGGAAACTTTTATTACCTCCCCTGAGTTTGTTGCCTTGCAAGACATTGCTGATTCTTCTCAAGACTCACAGCTACCATCCTTCATTGCTTCTAGACCTATAACTAGACTCAAGTCCCAGCAGGCCCTTAAAGGTAAGGTACAAAGTGTGACCCATGGGGAGGTATGTTACACTACAAAAGAGCTACATGATTTTTCCAATTTATACTGACAGAAATCTGGGAAATATTTGTGGGGAGGGATTTTAAGGGTGTGGGACAATGGTGGAAGGAACTTAGTGTTTGATCAGGCTGAATTTATTGAAATGGGACCACAAAGAAGAGATTCTGGACTTAATATGTGGATTAGGGAGTTAGAAAGAGCTCTTACAGTTTATTTGGTTGGTTGTATTAAATGGACCAAAAGGTGGCCCAGTCTAAATGAAGATAAAATGCCAGAACTGCCTCGATATACTATATACTGTGATCCAAAGGATTAGGGAGATTGGAATATTAGATTAGGTTTATCATTTAAGACCTGCCAACCCACCCCAGGAGGTCCAGAGGATGTACTTTTCTCATAACTGTGAGAAATATATTTGTGAGGCGAGTCCCAGAATCCTTGAAGAATACTGTGATTGTTCTTCTCTGTAGTTCAGATATTGCAGTGGAAATTGCTGCCACTGAGTTGGGAAACCTGAATGCAGTGGGTATAATTGGATCCCAGAGAGATAAGGGCCAGGTGGTGGCACTTGATAGCCAAAGGCAAGGTGAGCATGGTATGGTAATAGCAGAGTCAAAGCAGCAATCAGAACAGTCTGACCTGTAGAGACCTGTGGTGTTGATTAGTTGATCATGGTGTTCCTAGAAGTGAACTAGATGGGATGTCTACTGAATTCTTCCTTGATAGGTGTAAGCAGAAGAGTTCTAGGTCAAGTGAGCAAAATTCTAACCTGAACCATAGGAACAGAGAATCACAACCAGTCAATAACTTCCCAGACTTGAGCCGGTTTACACACAGAGAACACCTTGAATGAAAGGGAGGACCCTGGCACACTGCTAAAAATGTATACTGTTAATCTTTCAGCCTTCTCCAAAGGGATCTATAGCCTTTTGCCAGGGTGACTGTACATTTGGAAAAAGAAAATAGTCAGAACTTTCAGAAACTACTGGACACTGGCTCTGAACTGACACCAATTCCAGGAGACCCAAAACATCACTGTGGTCTACAAATCAAAGCAGGGGCTTATGGAGGTCAGATAGTCAATGGAGCTTTAGTTCAAGTTCATTTCACAGTGGACTCAGTAGGTCCCTAAAACCATCTTGTGATTATTTTCCAAGCCCTGGAATGAATAATTGGAATAAACATACTCAGAAACTGGTAGAATCCCCACATTGCTTCTCTGACCTGTGGAGTGAGGAATATTATGGCAGGAAAGGGCCAGTGGAAGCCAGTAGAACTGATTCTACCTAGGAAAATAGTAAAAAAGCAAAAGCAATACTACATTCCTGAAGAGATTGCTGATATTAATGCCTCCATCAAGGACTTTAAGGATGAAGTGATGTTGATATCTATCACATCCCATTCAACTCACCTATTTGACCTACACAAAAAAGAGATGGAATTTGGAGAATGACAGTGGATTATTGTAAGCTTCCTCAGATGGTGACTCTAGTTGCAGCTGCTATACCAGATATAGTTTCATTGCCTTAGAAAATCAGCACATCTCTTCATACCTGCTATGTAGCTATTGATCTGGGAAATGCTTTTTTCTCTATACCTATTAATCAAGAACACCAAAAGTAGTTTACTTTCAGCTGGCAGGGCCAACAATACACCCTCACTGTCCTACCTCAGGGGTGTATTAACTCTTCAGCCCTATGTTGTAATTTAGTTCTCAGGGATCTCAATCACCTTTCCCTTCCACAGGATATTACAGAGGTTTATTACATTGATGGCATTGTGCTGATTGGATCTAGTGAACAAGAAGCAGCAAATGCTTTAGTCTTATTTGTCTGTCAGAGGGTAGGAGATATATCCAACAAAAATTCAGTGGCCTTCTACTTCAGTGAAATTTCTAGAGGTCCAGTGTTGTGGGACATGTGGAGATAATCATAAGGTGAAGGATAAATTGTATCTGGCTCTTCCTACAAGCAAAAAAGAGGCACAATGGCTAGTGAACCAGGGCGTTTTGGAGGAAACATTCCTTATTTTGATGTGCTACTCTGGTCCATTTACTAAGTGATGTGAAAAGCTGCTAGTTTTGAGTGGGGCCCAAAACAAGAGAAGGCTCTGAAACAGGATCAGTCTGCCATGCAAGCCTCTCTGCCACGTGGGCTGTATGATCTAGCAGATCCAGTGGTGCTTGAAGTGTCATTGGCAGATAAGGGTGCTGTTTGGACCTTTGGCAGACCCCTTTAGATGAATCACAGTGCAGGCACGTAGGATTTTAGAGCAAATTCCTGCCACCCTCTCTGGACTCTCTTTTTGAGAAACAGCTTTTGGCCTGCTACTGGGCCTTGGTAGAGACTGCTTCATAGAGAACTAAGTAGAGAATGCTTAACTATGGGCCACCAAGCCATAAAGTTGGGCATACACAGCAGCACTCCACCATCAAATGAAAGTGGTAGATACAACATTGGGCTTGAGCAGATCCTGAAGGCACAAATAAGTTACACGAAGAAGCTGCCCAAATGCTCACTGTTCCCACCCCTGCTACATTACCTGCTCTCTTCAGCCAGCACCTGTTGTCTCATGAGGAGTTGCCTATGATCAGCTGACAGAAGAAGAGAAGACTTGGACCTGGTCTACAGAAGGTTCTGCGTGATATAAAGGTACCAGCCAGAAGAGGACAGCTATAGCACTACAGCCCCTTTTTTGAGACATCTCTGAAGGACAGTGGTGAAGAGAAATAACTCCCAGTGGGCAGAACATTGGGTAGTGCACTTGGTGCTTTTTGTTTTTTTGTTTTTTGCTTGGAGAAATGGCCAGACGTATAAATGTGTACTGATTCATGGGCTATGTTTAATGGCTTAGCTGGATGGTCAGGGAATTTTAAGGAACATGGTTGGAAAAATTGGTGACAATAAGGTCTGGGGAAGAGGCACGTGAATAGATCTTGCTAGATAGGCACAAACACAAAGATATTTGTATCCCATGTGAATGCTCACCAAAGGTTGATCTCAGCAGGGGCAGACTTTAATAATCAGGTGAATAGAGTGACATGCTCTATGAATATCAGCTAGACTATACCCCCAGTCACCCCTGTCATTGTGTCATTGCCCATAGGTCTCATGAACAAAGTGGCCATAATGGCAGGGATGGAGGTTATGTATGAGCTCAGCAACATGGACTTCCACTCACCAAGGCTGACCTGGCTACAGCTGCTACTGAGTGTCCAATCTGCCAGCAACAGAGACCAACATTGAGTACCTGATGGGCACTATTCCATGGGATGATCAGCCAGCTAGCTGATGGCAGGTTGATTACACTGGGACCACTTCCATAATGCATGGAGCAGTGCTTTTTTCTTACTAGAATAGACAGTAACTCTGGGTATGGATTTGCCTTCCCTGCACACAGTGCTCCCACCAATTTACCATCTGTGGACCTACAGAATGCCTTATCCACCATCATGGTATTCCATACAGCATTGCTGTAATCAAAGAACTCACTTTGTGGCAAATACCTTGTGGCAATGGCCTCATTGCCACTATGTTACCATATTCCTTATCCTCTCAAAGCGGCTGGCTTGACAGAATGGATGAATGGCCTTTTGAAGACTCAATTACAGTGAAAGCTAGGTGGCAGTACCTTGCAGGGCTGGGGTAATGTTCTTCAGGAGATTATACATGCCCCATGTCAGCATCCAATATATGATGCTGTTTCTACCATAGCCAAGATTCAAGAATCAAGGGGTGGAAATGGGAGTGGCACCAGTTGCCATTACCCCTAGTCATCCATTAGCATAATTTTTGCTTCCTGTTCCTGTTCCTGTGGCCTTATGCTCTGCTGGTCTAGGGGTCTTAGTGGCTCTCTTCATTAATGTTGTCTGACACTTAGGCCTTTCTGTCTGCAAACTTGAGTCTTCCTTGATGGACAACAGAGCATGGAATTATTTTTGGACCAGAGTCTAGATTTACCTAGTCTGTGGAGTCTAGAAGATTGCTGCGTAATATGGAACAAGTTACTTTGTACAGATTCTTTATTTGAAAAGTATGAATATAATAGCACCTCCCTCAAAGGTTTGTTTTGGAGTTGACAAGGTGATACATGTAGCGTATCATGCTGCTTGAACCTGGTATGCATGTTTCACTGCATTCTGTTAGTACTCCTGCTTCTGTTTAGGGAGCTTTCCTATGATCACTTGAATTATTTCTTTTCTGCAGTGAATTCCACAGTTTGCTTCTGAAATTCGTTTTTTACATTCCCCTTGTATGCACTGTGTCTTTTACCATTTTAATCATTATTGTAGGTTTTTTTAATCTTTTTTTTCTGAGTTCTGGGAAAATTTTTTAAGCTGATTTTCTAAACATAAATTTGTTTTTCTGTTCAATTCCTGCTTTAGGAGTTTGAGTTGAATGATTGTGACTTTTATATGAAATCAAGCTTTTATTATTTTAGATTATTTAATTTTCACATATTTAATCTCATTTCAAAATTTAAAAAATGCTTTTTTTACTATGAAGTAATTTATATGGTTTAGATACTGTAATAACTACTGCTAACATTGTGATGAACACTTGCCAGGCTTATTATTATTATATGACATATATCATCATATATCTACATAAATATGATGAAAGATCTCCATACAAAGCCATTGTTATCACCTTTATAATTTAGTAATATAACATATTTGTTAGTAAACATAGGTATAAAGTATTGTTTTAAATAATGCTCTCTTGAATTTTATTTAATATACAAATAGGAGTTTTTAAGGTGTTATCTTCTTTTATAGAAAGGAGAATATTTGTTGTGATTTTTTAGAATGGTCTCCCTTTTTGAAATACCGGGTATCTTTATATATCTAGCGTTTTTTTTTTTTTTTTTTTTTTTGAGATGGAGTCTCACTCATTCTGTCACCCAGGCTGAAGTACAGTGGCACGGTCTCAGATCACTGCAGCCTCCGCCTCCCTGGTTCAAGCGATTCTCCTGCCTCAGTCTCCTGAGTAACTGGGATTATAGATGTGAGCCACCGCACCTGGCTGTTTTTTTCTGTTCATTCATATTTACAAGGGAAAGTTTCTGTGTGCTATGTTAAAATTTGAGAAGAGTTCTGCCAGATATTATATAAATGCCTGTTCAGGTCTTGTCAGCATATTTACTAGATAAGTGGTCCATGTGATTCTGAGTAGTAAGGAGAGGTTATTGGTGAGAGAGCTGCATGGCAGAGAAGGGCCTCCTTTGCTGTGTGTGTTTCTGCTCTCAGTGTGGGGATGGTGGTGGAACCAGAGCTTCAGATGTCTGTATCAGGTGAAGAAGGAACTCCTGGAGCAGTGAAGGTTAGTAGGCCAAATAGCTGGTTTTCCCTCTCGTATTTGTTATAACAGTCCATGTTAGATGAGTCCCATATTACTTGGAGCAATTCCCCTTGGTAGCATCCTTTTGCCACAATATCTTTGCTTTGAATAACATGTCCTATCACCAGATGAAGGCTGAGAATGGACATAAAATATGGCTGTCTAGTTTGGGGACAGTGGTGGAATTCCATTAATCCTAGAATTTGTCTGCAGTCAACTATCAGATTTTTTTTTTCCCCTGGCTCCTGCTGCTCTGGGTTTGCAGGTTTCAGATTTGCAGGATAATATCACTCATTTACTCCCACAAAGAGTTTCTCCTCTGTTGTGTTCAGTTGCAAACTATAGGATACTTCCCTTGACTTAACCTTGCCCATGCCACTTCTAGCAGAAATTTCCAAAAGTACCTGGATGCTAATGATATCATTCTGCATTTATTAAAAACTGATTTGAAAAATAAACATCCCATAATTGTATATTTCTTCGGTCATGCCAATAGTTTTCAGGGAGGAAATAATTTAAACTCATGGACTCAACCATTTTGAAAAGAAACTCCTAGGCCATCTTCTCTATTGGTCAAAGAGATATATGGATTTACATGTGTGAAATCCTTTCGTGAAGTCTGGGTGTGATGTATCTCCCACCTTTATCTACCAGATGTTTCTGTTTCTGTAATAGATGATTCAACACACGTTCCTCTTGGAAAAAGCAAGGACTACATCAATGCTAGTTATATTAGAATAGTCAATTGTGGAGAAGAGTATTTTTATATCGCTACTCAAGGACCACTGCTGAGCACCATAGATGACTTTTGGCAAATGGTGTTGGAAAATAATTCGAATGTTATTGCCATGATAACCAGAGAGATAGAAGGTGGAATTATCAAATGCTACCATTACTGGCCCATTTCTCTGAAGAAGCCATTGGAATTGAAACACTTCCGTGTATTCCTGGAGAACTACCAGATACTTCAATATTTCATCATTCGAATGTTTCAAGTTGTGGAGAAGTCCGTAAGTTTTTAAACATCAGTATTAGATATATGTTTCACCACATAAGCAGATGTCTTAGAACTAGAAGTTAGGAGTAGGATGGAAAATCGATCGATGATACTTCTTAAGTAACTTTTTACTTGTCCCTGGTACCAGAAGCCACCACCACTTCTACTTCTCCTCAACCAGATTCTGTGGAGAAGAAAAAATTGGAAAAGAGAGGTGGGGCAGGGAGAGTGACTGTTGAAGTTGTCTGATTCTGGGTTATACCTGCCTCTGCCAAATGTAGCAGATACGTATTGAGTCCTTAAAGTATGCTAATCACTGGGCCAGGCACTATCAGTACTTACCGAATAGTGGAGAGGTTGGTTACACTCACTGATAGATACCTAACTTACCGTGTTCAGTGATAATGTTGAGATATGTCTTGGGCACTTTGGGGCTCAGAAGGTAAACACTTGGCTTTACTTGGGGTTTTGAGACAGGTTTACTGGAGGAGGTGGCATTTGTTTTGAGAATTATGCAAATGAAAAAGATGGAGGGAGAAAGTAGATGATCAAAATATAAAATAGCATAAGGTGTGTGTAGAGACAAATATAAGTAGTTAAGTGTTTCTGAAATGTAAAAGTTCAGTGCCAGGGAGTAATAAAAGATGAGATGATGTTCTCAAAAGTAAGCAGGGGCCAGCTAGAATGTGAAATGTCTTAAATTTCAGCTAAGTAGCATGAACTTTATTATGAAGATAATTGGGAGACATTGAAGAATTTTAGTAAGTGACATGATCAACTACGGCTGTTGGCATGGGGGTGGAAAGCACAGACGCAAGTGTTTTGCAGATAAAATTGGGAGACATACGTGACTTATGACTTATGATTTATAAGTGACAGAGGAGGGGTTGAAAATATATTCAATACAGTAACCACATGTGGATATTTAAGTTTAAATTTAAGTTATTTAAATTTATGTAAAATAACAAATTGAGTTCCTCACCTGCAAGTAGCCACATTTTAGGGCTTATGAGTGGCATGTTGATAGTGGCTACTATATTGCCACTATTTAAGACATTTGCTTCAGTATAGGAAGTTCTGTTGAGAAGCATTGGTCTAGAATAATTCATGGATTCCTTGGTCTAATAGACTTAGAAAACAGAAAAGGAATGGTTTATAGGAGAAAGCAATGAGTTAGATTGCTCTAGTGGATTCAGTTGGCAGGTAGGTGATACATGTGTTAACACGAGTGAAGGGAATAGGAGTTGAACAGGAAACTTGCAGAGAATGGTGAGTTTTGGAGTCATCACCAAAGAAGTTGATTGGAGCACAATCACCAGGAAAAGGGTTGCTGAGTGATGCTGAGGTTTGACCCATACATTTGTAGTAGCAACAAAATATGTGATTATGTGTATTTTTCTAGCAGTATAACATTGAGATCCCTGAATACAGGTTATGGGACTGATCCAGAGAGAGAGATTAATTTTAAGGAGTTGGTTCAAGTGATTGTGGAGGGTTGGCAAATCTGCAGGGTGGGAAAGTAGGCTGAAGACCCAGGGAAGAATTGGAGTTTGAGTCCAAAAGCAATCTGCTGGTAGAATTCCTTCTTGCTCATGGGAGGTCAGTTTTTGTTCTCTTAAGGCCTTCAGCTGATTAGATGAAGCCAACCCACTTTATGGAGAATAACCTGCTTTACTCAAATTCTACCAATTTAAATGTTAATCTCACCTAAAAAATACCTTCACAGAGGCACAAAATAATATTTGGCCTAGTATCTGGATACCAGGGCTCAGCCAAGTTGACAGATAAAATTAACTATCACAAATTTCAGTCGACACTGTGGATTAGAATAGAGCTCTGAGCACTAGCATCTTTATTCAGGAAGCTTAGGAAAAAGAGGTGCATTCGGGAGAAGCATAGGAGAAGTGAGAAACTCATTTTGAGTTCTTCCATTAGGGTCCCATGTGTGATAAAATAAGGGCCCCACACTGAGGAAAGGGTCATGATCCCTTTGGATGAGATATAGGTAAATTCAAAGTGCTTTATCTGACAATGCTGGGAAGAGTTTCATGACTCCACTTCAAGGGGGCTCAGCACAATAGTGGGACCCACAATCTACTCTCATGGTCATTGACTACCCTGTCTTCATCGCTGGAAGAGATCGGTGCCTCTCTTGTCAGACACCTATATGTCTTAATTAAATTTCATATGTCATTTCTAAACTAAGATACTTTGCCTTTTGGTCTTATTCCTAACATGACAGTCCATCTCTCACTCTAAGCATTTTGAAATCTTGGTTTTCCTGTAGCCTCATGGTACAGAAGAATGATGGTAGATTAGAATTCAAGACACCTACATTACAGTTCCAGCTCTAAACGTGTGAACCTTCTGACCTAGCATACATCTCTCGTCCCCCTCATCCTTAAATTTTCATCTGTAAAATGGAGATAAAATGGTGCCTATCTCACATGGTTGATGTGAAGATTAAAGGAGAGAATTCATGTGAAGCCCCTAGCATAGTAACTGCCACATAGCAAGTGCTTAATTTTTGTTACCTGTTAATACTGGTATTTTTATTGTTGTTACTGTGCTCTCCTTTGTAAAATGGAGAAAACCTCTATTCCTAGCAACTTCCAGAATTCTTATAAACATCAAAAAGAGGTTTGAGTACTTTTTGAAAGTTCTATATAATACCAAGGTAATACCATATAGCCATTATTATTATCATTTGAATATTAGAAGTTGGCGTGAGGTCTCTAATATAAGAAATCAATAAATGTCTTTCTCGCTCTGTTTCTTTCTCTAACAGACGGGAACTAGTCACTCTGTAAAACAGTTGCAGTTCACCAAGTGGCCAGACCATGGCACTCCTGCCTCAGCAGATAGCTTCATAAAATATATTCGTTATGCAAGGAAGAGCCACCTTACAGGACCCATGGTTGTTCACTGCAGTGCCGGCATAGGCCGGACAGGGGTGTTCCTATGTGTGGATGTCGTGTTCTGTGCCATCGTAAAGAACTGTTCAGTAAGTGTGTGAATCAAGCAGATACACTGATGCTGTTGGTGTTTACACACTACATTTAATAGCCTGATCATTTGGAAGACTAATATTTGGTCTTCAAAAGCAACTTAGTAAATCAAAAGCACATGAGCTTTGGATACCTGATTCTCACCGAACTTGCTGCAGGTTCCTGGGGGTGTTTGTGAGGATTAAAGTATGTATTGTAAATAATGGCTTAGGACAGTGTCTGGAACATAATAGATACACAGAAAATGTGAGTTCCATTTCCTTTTCCTTCCCTGTATCTTACACGGGGTGTTTAGACTCTTACTAGAGAATGTTGATGGAATGTGCCTGTTTTTAATGAATATAAGTGACAAGCACATAAGAATGTGAGAAAAAATGTAGACTTCTGAGTTAATGAGGGGTCCCTGTTTGACTGCCTGTTTTGCCACATACTTTAGATTTTGGTGACTTTGGGTAAATTGCTCATCCTCTCTCAAATCTAGTTTTCTCATTTGCAAAATAAACATAGTAATATAATTGAGTTTGAGTCAATAATTCACAATCCTTTACTTTTGTTTTTAATTTGGAACCAGCTAAGAGATAGACACAGGAATCAGATGTGATGATTACAATATTTCCTTTATGATTATTTTTATTCTCAAGTTTTATCTGTTAAAATGATTCCATCTATGTTGTTTTTCCTTTTATTTTTAGTTGACATGTAATAATTGTACATATTTGTGGGGTACAGAGAGTGATATTTAGATATATGTATACAATGTGTAGTGATCAGATCAAGGTAGTTAACATATGCATCACCTCAAACATTTGTCATTTCTTTGTGTTGTGAACATCAAAAATCTTCTCTCCTAGCTCTTTAAATATATACAATAAATTATAATTAACCATATTTGCCCTACAGTGATGCAGAACACCAGAGCTCATTCCTCCTATCTAGCTTAATTTTGTATTTGTTAGCCAACCTTTCCTTATCATCTTTAATACCCACAGTTCTACTCTTGACTTCCATGAGTTTGATTTTTTAGCTCTCATATATAAATGAGAACATGCAGTATTTATCTTTCTGTGCCTGCCTTGTTTTGCTTAATGCAATGTTCTCCAGACTTGTCCATATTGCTGTGAATGACAGGATGTCACTCTTTTTTTATGGCTGCATAGTATTCCATTTTCCAATTCATTAGCATAGGATTATTTCCATTTGTTTCTGTCCTCTTCATTTCTTTCATCAGTGTTTTATAGTTTTCCTCATAGAAGTCTTTTACTTTTTTGGTTAAATTTATCCTAGGTGTTTTTTTTTTTAATAGCTATTGTAAATAAGATCACCTTCTTTATTTCCTTTCAGCTAGTTTGTTATTGGAGTCTAGAAATATCACTGATTTTTGTATGTCGACTTTGTATCCTGCAACTGTACTGAATTAGTTTATTAGTTCTTAGAGTGTTTTGGTAGAGTCATTAGTTTTGGGGGATATATATATATATACATATATATATGAATATATGAATATATAGTCATGTTACATGCAAAGAAGGACAATTTAATTTCCTTTTTTTCCAATTTGGATGCCCCTTATTTCTTTCTCTTGACTAATTGCAATGGCTAGGACATCCAACATTATACTGAATAAGAGTGGTAAAAGTGGGCATTCTTGACCTGTTTTCCAGTTCTTAGAAGAAAGGCTTTGAGCTTTTCCCCATTCAGTATGATCTTAGCTGTGTGTTTGTCATATATCGTCTTTATTGTGTTTAGATATGTTCCTTCTATGCCTCATTTGTTTAGAGTTTTTTTTTTTATCATGAAAGCATGTTGAATTTTATCAAATGCTTCTTCCACATCTATTAAGATTCTCATATGGTTTTTGTCATTCATTCTGTTGATATATCACATTTATTGATTTGCATATGTCAAATTATACTTGCATTCTGGGGATAAATCCCACTTGGTCATAGTGCATTATCTTTTTGATGTGTTGTTACATTTGTTTTGCTAGTATTTTGTTGAGGATTTTTTTTTTTTTTTGCCTCTATGTTCATCGGGGATATTGGCTTGAACTTTTTTTTCATTGTGTCTCTGTCAGATTTTGGTATCAAGTTGATAATGGCTTCATAGAATGAGTTAGAGAGGAGTCCCTCCTCCTTGAATTTTTTGGAATGGTTTCAGTAGGATTGGTAGCAGTTCTTCTTTGTACATGTGGTAGACTTTAGCTGTGAATCCGTCTGGTCCAGGGCTTTTTTTGGTTGGTAGGATTTTTATTACTGATTCACTTTTGGAATTCATTATTGGTCTGTTCAGGTTTTCTTGAACAGGAATTTCTTCCTGGTTGAATCTTGGGAGTTTTCAGGAATTTACTCATTTCCTCTAGATTTTCTATTTTTCGTGTGCATAGATATTTATAATAATCTCTGAAGATCTTTTATATTTCTGTGGGATTAGTTGTAATGTCATCTTTGTCATTTCTGATTGGGCTTAGATTTTCCTTTTTTTGTTGTTTAGCTAGCAGTCTATCAATTTTGTTTATTCTTTCAAAAAACAGACCAGGCGCGGTGGCTCATGCCTGTGATCCCAGCACTTTGGGAGGCCGAGGCGGGTGGATCACCTGAGGTCAGGAGTTCGAGACCAGCCTGATCAATATGGCGAAACCCCATCTCTACTAAAAATACAAAAATTAGCCAGGTGTGATGGCATGCACCTGCAGTCCCAGCTACTTGGGAAGCTGAGACAGGAGAATTGCTTGAACCCAAGAGGCAGAGGTTGCAGTGAGCTGAGATTGTGTCACTGCACTCCAGCCTGGGAGACAGAGCGAGACTCCATCTCAAAAAAAAAAAATTGTTTGTTGATCTTTCGTATGCATTTTTCCATCTTAATTTCATTCAGTTCTGCTCTGATTTTGGTTATTTGTTTTCTTCTGCTAGTTTGGGATTGATTCGTTCTTTTTTTCTAGTTTCTCTAGGTGAGACATCAGGTTGTTCATTTAAGATCTTCCTAACTTCTTTGATGTAGGCATTTAGCACTATAAACTATACTCTTAGCACTGCTTTAGCTGCATCCCAAAGATTTTGATTTGTTTTGTCTCTGTTTTCATTAATTTCAAAGAATTTTTTTGATTTCTGAATTCATTTGTTTACCCAAAAGTCATTTAGGAGCAAGTTGTTTAATTTCCAAGTAATTGTGTAGTTTTGGGAGATCTTCTTGGTAGTAATTTCTGTTTTTATTGTACTGTGGTCTGAGAGTATGCTTGAGATGATTTCAGTGTTTTTAATCTTTTTCAGATTTGCTTTATGGCTGAGCATATAGTCGATCTTAGAGTATATTCCATGTGCAGATAAGAAGACTGTATATCCTATGGTTTTGGAGTGGACTAGTCTGTAGATATTTATTGAGTCCAATTGGTCAAGTGTTGAATTTAAGACCAGAATTTCTTTATTAATTAATTTTTCGCTTTGATGATCTCTCTAATCCTGCCAGTTGGGTGTTGAAGGCTCCCAATATTATTGTGTGACTAAGTCTTTTCATAGGTCCAGAAGAACTTGTTTTATGAATCCGGGTGCTCCAATGTTAGCTGTGTGTATATTTAAGATAGTTAACTCTTCTTTTTGAATTTTTCCCTTTGTCACTGTGTAATGCCCTACTTTGTCCTTTTAGATCATTGTTGGTTTAAAGTCTGTTTTATCTGATATAAGAATAGTGACCCCTGCTTTCGTTTTGTTTTCCATTTGCATGATAGATCTTTCTCCATCCCTTTACTTTGAGCCTGTGGGTGTTCTTACATGTGAGATGGGTCTCTTGAAGACAGAATATGGTTGGGCCTTATTTTTTTAATCCATTTTGCCATCCTAAGCCTTTTAAGTTGGGTATTTAGACCATTTGCCTTCAAGGTTTATATCAATATGTGAGATTTTGATGCTGTCATCACATTGTTGGCTGGTTGCTTTGTAGATTTGATTGTGTATCTCCTTTATGGTGTCTGTGGGCCATGTACTTGTGTTTTTGTGGTGCCAGGTACTGTTCTTTCATTTCCACATTTAGCACTTCCTTAAGGACTTCTTGTAAGACTGGTCTAGTGCTCATGAATTTCCTTAGCTTTGATTGTCTGAAAAGGATTTTATTTCTCCTTTGCTTATGAAGCTTTCTTTGGAAGAATATCAAATTATTGTTTGGAGTTTATTTTATTTAATAATGCTGAAAATAGGTCCACAGTTTCTTCTCACTTGTAAGTTTCTGCTGAGAGGTCTACTCCTAGCCTGATGGGATTTCCTTTGTAAGTAAGCTGACCTTTCTCTCTAGCTGCGGTAAATAGCCACTATGGAGACTAAGGACCAGAAGAAACACAGAAAGAAAAACAGTGGACCCAAAGCTGCAAAGAAAAAGAAGTGGCATCTGCAGGATCTCCAGCTAGGAGACGAAGAAAATGCCCAGAAGAGAAATGCCAATGCTTTTGCAGTTCAGTCTGCTGTGTGGATGTCTCGATCCTTTCACAGGTGTGTTTAGCTACAGTCTGATGGTTCTTCCATTGAATCTTTTTAAATAGTTAGGAGCCTCTCACAGGTGACATTTGGATTCACAAGTCTAGTCCAGCTCCAAAGGACGTGGAGATGCATGCTGTGTGACTTTTACTAAAACGTGAGAAGACTTGCCATAGAAGCTGCCTTGCCTCCAGCATCTGCACACTGGTTGGTGTTTCTTGCCCAAGATACAAGAATTTATAGAATTTGATTCTTCCTAAACTTTAAACTGTTTCTATGGTGATAAGTGTGCTTTTTCCCTCTGGATATGTTTTACAAAGTTGTAATATAAAATACAAAAATTACAATATGTAATACTAACATAGCTTTATTTAGTGAGTCCTTATGATATTCTTAGCAGTGTACTTTAAACGTTATTCAACTAAATCCTTCCAGCAGCCTTACCAGAGTAGGAATCATTCTTGCCCTCATTTTATGGACAAGAAAACTGAGGTCAAGAAAACAAGTTACCTCCAATCATACAACCAGTAAGTCGGAGAGCCAAATTTAACTCCAGAACCTCTGCTCTTATCTGTTATGATGCGCTGCCTCAGTATTTACCTTTTGTTTTTTAAAAAACTATAAAAATCACTCATAAAACAGTCAGATTTAAGGAGTGTTTAATTTTCAACTCTATACTATTGAAGTCATCTTGTTACATCTTTATTGAACAGCAATTGATTTGGATAGGGGTCAGAAGTTAATAATTGACAAGTTACTTATATTTTTATATTGTCTGTTGTACTCTCTATAAAATATACTAAAGTACTCATATCTGTAATTATACTAAAAAAAAGTCTACTTATAAGGTTGATACCTTTTACTCTATTTTAAAAGTGAGTTTACTTTTTTTTTCTTTTTTAAATAAATAGGACTCTGGATTTGAAGACACAAAAGCATCATATTCCAGTGGTTGATGGAACTCCACTAGAGCTGCCACCAATACCGGTAGTGGTGACGGGGCCTCCAAAGTTGGAAAGAGCACTTTGATATAATGCCTCATTCGGAACTTCACCTGGCAGAAGTTCACCGAGATCAGAGGCCCTGTGACGATCGTGTCAGGTAGGAGATGGTGCCACAGACACAGACTTGGCGTGGCTGTTGTCATCTGAGGGACATGCGTGTGTTTGTTGTTTTCTTGAGTGGAACATGTTAAATATTGTCATATCATGTTACCTCTCTCTTACTTTTACTAAGTTAGCTATAACTTCATAAAAGGATAAGTTCCCAGAGATAAGGATGTGATACATACCTTATCCTGACTGCTCTATGGCTTTGCCAAGCATGTTCCTTGGAAGGGCCTGACAGGCCTGGTCACTGCGAACACACCATTTAACAGACAGCACGTACCTCCTATGTGCCAGGTGCACATGCTTGCCCTTATGAAGCCACATGCTGGTGGAAGTGCGCGTTTTCTCTTTTTCCTATGAGAATTTGTCTGCTTTGGGAGATGGTGACCTTTCCAAGTTTGAGGGAAGATGAAACAAACATCCAGTGGTAGAATGGCAATGTACACTCTGAAATCTCTTATTATTGCAGTAATATAGTTGGATTGAGGCTTTTCTTTATCTTTGGCGCATCCATATTTTATTTTCCTTTTTTTGAGACAGAGTCTTGCTCTGTGGCACAGGCTGGAATGCAGTGGTGTGATTACAGCTCACTGCAGCCTTAACCTCCCAGGCTCAAGCAATCCTCCTACCTTAGCCTCCTGTGAGTAGTGTATGCCACCATGCCTGGCTAATTTTTCTTTTTTTTCCTTTTTTTAAATTTTTATGTTTTTGTAGAGATGGGATTTCCCCATGTGGCCCAGGCTGGTCTCAAAACTCCTGGGCTCAAGGGATCCACCTGCCCTGGTCTCCCAAGGTGCCAGGACTACAGGCATGAGCCACTGTGCCCAGCCAATATTTTCTTGATCATTTTCTTATTACCTTAATTTAGAAATAATTATCATTGTAAATATTCTGTTGCATTATGTTTGAGGATGTTTTTAGCGATAGTGGGAATACAGGAAATTTTGATAGAGGTGAAGACATTGGCCTGCAGCTGAACAGCAAGATCATGGTTATCGTGGAGCCTGTCTAGTCAGAATTTTCCCTGTTTTCAGCACTTTTATTCATCTGGGTAGGCTTTTGATATTATCTAAATTTAGAACACAGGAAGAAAAACAGGATGGAATTTATTTTACCAGTTTTTGCCTATAAAAATGAACTTCTGGTACACTCCTGTAAACGTATGTGGTGTTTTACTGGATGCAGTTAAAAAATGAAAATTAAGAGTTGATGGTTAGAGTTTTTTCAGGGTCTTTTTAAAGTAAAATTTTCATCTTTTCACTTATAGGTAAAAAGCGCAGACTCACCATTATTGAATGTGGGTGTGACATTAACATGATGATTGATCTGGCTGAAGTAGCAGATCTGGTAAGTGAGCAGGGGCAGCCTGGGGTGCTGATGGAGACTTACAGCATTGTGATAGGTTATTTACCCCGTGATGAAGGGAAGAGAGTTTTGTGATTATTAAAAGGATCATGGTCATTATCAGGGATATAGTAGATGTGATTGAATTGATGATGATAATAATAATAGTAATAAATGTTGTCATATTAATAATACAAATGGAATGTGCACAATGAAATGTGTTCCAAAATCTAAAAGCAGATCACAGGATGGAGAAAACCTTTAATGAACACAGCTAATAAGAGCTCATTAACATTCATACATATATATGTACAAATATATCATAGTAAGTACCATTTCTTCTTGGATCCTTCCTGGATCCAAATTTAGCTTACATAAACCCTTGATACACCCTTGAGGTGAGTAGGTATTATCTATAGTTTACATAAGATGAAATAGAGCCTCCCAGCAGTTAAGTAACTTGTGTGAAGATGGGACCCTTGTTCCTGATGGTTCTAGAACCTTCATCCTTAATGATAATGCTAAAGTAAGTACATGAATTGCCTGAAGAAGTGGTCAGAGTTTATCAATAGAAAATTTAGATAGTACTCAGCGTGTGGAAAATGTACATTTATGGAAATGATAATGTTCACTATCTCTGATATTCTATGATCTTTTACATTAGCAAAAAAAAAAAAAAAAAAAAAAAAGGCCAGACACAGTGGCTCATGCCTGTAATCCCAGCACTTTGGGAGACCGAAGTGGGTGAATCACCTGAGGTCGGGAGTTCGAGACCAGCCTGACCAACATGCAAAAACCCCGTCTCTACTAAAAATACAAAATTAGACGGGTGAGGTGGTGCATGCCTGTAATCCCAGTTACTTAGGAGGCTGAGGCAGGAGAATCGCTTCAACCCAGGAGATGGAGGTTGCGGTGAGGCGAGATCGTGCCATTGCACTCTAGCCTGGGCAACAAGAGTGAAATTCTGTCTCAAAAAAAAAAAAAAAAATTAGCAAAAAAATAAGCCATATTGATTAGGAGGTGTAGGGTGACAGATACCTTGTTTTTTTCATTTTTATTTAGTTTTTGCTAGAGCTACAGATTTTATACTTTGGCCTAGGAAGACTCCTAAAATATAAAGGAAAAAGTAATACAGATTTTAAAGTTGTGCCATTGTAATGTCAGAAAACTAAATAACATTCAAATTTTGAACATGTAATGCTACTATTAGTAAAAATAAGTGTAATTAATGTAAAGTTGTGTAAAGATTACTAAACTTGTATACTTGAAATGATTGAATAGTTCATAGAAGTCATTTGTTTCTCTTTTATTTAAAATGTAGCAAGTTTCTAATTTTAAACACATACATATTAAGAGATGCATTTACATTTTTTTATTTTTAGTTATTATGGATACATAATAGTTGTACATATTTATGGGGTACATGTAGTATTTTGATAGAAGCATACAATGTGTGATGATCAAATCAGGGTAATTCAGAGATCCGTCACTTCAAACATTTATCATTTGTTTGTGTTAGGAACATTTTAATTTCATTCTTTTAGTTATTCTGAATTATATAATAAATTATAGTCACCCTATTGTGCTGTTGGACACTAGAATTTATTCTATCTAACTGTGTTTTTGTACCTGTTAACCTTTCCCTCTTTGTCCCTCCCTCCCTGCTCCCCTTCCCAGCCTCTTAACCATCATTGAGAGAGATGCCTATGTAAATCTTAAGATTTTCAAAAGGAGCACACACATTTGGTAAAGCACTCTAACTGTAATGCACGGTACACACAATGCGCATTTTCTCTTTCCTTGCTGTAACCTCTGGTCTCTCAGGTCCCTGCAGACCTTTATATATATGTATATCCTTCCAGATACATATAAACACACATGCCACCCTTTAAAAACACAAACGGTAGCTTATTTTATACACTGTTCTATGCTTTGCTCTTTTCATGTAATATACTTGAAGGTATATAATCAGTAAGTACTGTAGCTCTGCCTCCTTCTTTTTAATATAACATTCCATTCTGTGGATGCACCATAATTTATTTAGTCTAGCTTATGTTGATTGCTCTGCTCTGGGTTGTCAAAGCCTCCTGAGTACAGCAGAGGCACACACAGTACGTGGATTTGGGTGTGTACGTGCGTGTGTGGATTAGGGGAGTGACACTGGCTTAGATGGCAAAGATTGGCAGCTGAGGGACTGTTTGCTCCCTTTTATTCCTGACCCTACAACCAGCTGCTTGTCCCTTGGCACTCTGGCATCAGATGTGGTGTGAGGATATTCCACCTGTTCTTTGAGCTGGTCCAGTGTTGCTGGAGAGCTCTGCTTGCTGCCTTGGTCTGCAGTGGCAGCTGTGCTTTCCTACAAGCCCAACTTCATATATTCTGTGGTTTTGGGTTTTGAATGTTTCCTAGTTTAATCAAGGATGGGCATTTCTGTTTCCATTTTGTGTTATTTTTAGTTATCCATGGAAAGATAAAAACAGAACTATCTTTAGTATTAAAATTACAAGTTTCCAGGAATCAGTTCTGAAATTATTTTGCATCTTTGAAGTGTCTTAAATTTTAAAAATTGGTCTTGGCCAGGTGCGGTGGCTCACGCCTGTAATCCCAGCACTTCGGAGGCCAAGGCAGGCAGATCACGGGGTCAGGAGATCGAGACCATCCTGGTGAACACTGTGAAACCCTGTCTCTACTAAAAAAATACAAAAAAAATAGCCGGGCGTGGTGGTGGGCGCCTGTAGTCCCAGCTACTCAGGAGGCTGAGGCAGAAGAATGGCATGAATCCGGGGGGCGGAGCTTGCGCTGAGCCGAGATCTAGCCACTGCACTCCAGCCTGGGCAACAGAGCGAGACTCTGTCTCAAAAAAGAAAAAAAAAATTGGTCTTATCTGCTTATATTTTCTTATAGACTACCATTCATCATAATCTTTCTGTTTTTTTACTTAATTCTAAACTGGTAGCTATTTCAAATATTTCTGAGCAATTGAGTTACACAAATTAACATACAAGATAGAGGTTTCCATTGCATACTTCCCAGCAAAAAAAACAGATTTTTTTTTTTTTTCTGTGAGGAGATTGAAAGAAGAGGTTGGTTTTCTGTACATATTTAATATATTTCATTGATTATCACTTTCTTCCCATTCTTTGGATGTCAGAGACCTGTTATTTGGCTTAAAAATACATTACAGAAAACTTCATTTCTTTAAATTAGGATTTCTTAGGTAAGGGCCAGGTTAGACCCAGCCTTTTCTGAGTTACTTCTCATGCATTAGAATTCTTAAAATGGATGTTTATATCCTAGTGGCCTTGTCTTATGGTTGCCTTTTAGAGCAAGTCAGAGGGTGGTGGTTTCTCTGTCTGGGTGATGCCTGTGTAGTCATTTGATTTAGTCTGGAGTGGGACTTTTCTGTCGAGGGCCAGATAGTGAATATTTTCAGCTTTGTGGATCATATCTTCTGCAGCTACTTAGCTCTGCAGTTGTAGTGCACAGGCGGCCATAGACAATATGTAAAGGAATTAATGTGGCTATGTTCCAATAAAACTTTAGTTACAAACACAGGTGATGGGCTGGATTTGGCCCGTGGGCCAGTTGCCAACCCCTAGTGTAGGTGGTCTGTTTTGGTAGTTTCTTCGAGAAATAATGTGTTGTGCTTGTAGGTACTGATGCTTATAGATGCCAGCTTTGGGTTTGAAATGGAAATGTTTGAGTTTCTAAACATCTGTCAAGCACATGGCTTTCCTAAAATTCTGGGAGTTCTCACCCACCTCGACTCCTTCAAGCATAACAAGCAACTGAAGAAGACAAAGAAGCGATTAAAACACAGGTTCTGGACAGAAGTTTACCAGGTAGGAAGAGAAATAATTGTTAGACACTAACAGTATAATCCTTTAAAACCAGACTAAAGAGGCCAGGCACAGTGGCTCATGCCTGTAATCCCAGCACTTTGGGAGGCAGAGTCAGGTGGATCACTTGAGGCCAGGAGTTTCGAGCTCAGGGCAATATGGCCAAACCCTGTCTCTACTCAAAAGGCAAAAATTAGTCGGGTGTGGTGGCATGCACCTGTAATCCCAGCTACTAGGGAGGCTGAGACGTGAGAATTGCTCAAAGCTGGGAGGCAGAGGGTGGAGTGAGCTGAGAGTGCACCACTGCACTCCAGCCTGGGTGACAGAGTGAGACTCCATCTCAAACAAACAAACAAACAAACAAACAAACAAAAAGACTGAAGAGACATTACTAAACATCTCTCTAGGAATTGCCTCCTGAATTCCCTTTGTGTATGTGTTCCCAGTCTCTGGAAGGTGTCCCTCAAGAGAGTGGTTATTCTGGGCCTCTTGGTGTATCTCATTTGTCTCCGTACCTGCTGCACCAGGCAATGTCTGGGTGTTTTGGAGTCGGGACTTAATAGAGTACATCAGAAGTTTCTCCCAGTTACAGGACCAGGCACTGCCCCTTCCTTTCCATACTGCTGTGGTCCATCGGCCACAGAACCCTTTCTGTGCTCAGAGGCCTCACCTCCCTCTCCTCACCATACTTAGACAGATGCACCGGCTTGGTTGCAGAGCAGTCTGCCTCTGTGTGGTTCTAATAAGTCCTGAAAGAATCCAGCAAGGCTCTGGAAGCCTCAGGACAGTGGCTTTGCTGGAAGTCTCCCTTCTTAGGATTGCTTCTTGTTTAGAGCTTTTATTTTGTTGCAGTATTGACGAGAATTTAATTGAAATTTAATTTTTAATTTTCCTTTAATGTTTAGGTTGCCAAACTGTTCTACCTTTCTGGAATGGTGCATGGAGAATATCAAAACCAAGAAATCCACAATCTGGGCCATTTTATTACAGTTATGAAGTTTAGGCCTCTCATGGCAAACTTTTCACCCTTATATCCTGGCAGACAGGTAAAAAGTGATTGTAAACTTTTTCTTCCTGGGCCATGTATTTCAAAGCTAAAAAGGCTAGAAAAAGAACAGTGATAGGATTTATTTTGTGCCTATTTGAATAGTGGGGGTAGAAGTGCAGTTGATGGAAAATGTCTACTTATATCATTGCTCAAAGATGCTGTGCCTTTGGGAGTAAATTAATTATGAGATGTTTAGGAAAATGGGAGGACTTGAAAGCATTTAAGGCTACAGGATGTGGCCCCATCCTACGTTCAGCCTCGGTTTTCAGTGATGCTGCCTTCGTGCCCAGGTGCTGGAGTCCTTCGTGCGTGCCTTCAGTTTCCTTCCTTTGTGCTCTTCTTTGTGCTGTGATTTTCTCAGCCTGGAATACCCCTTTTCCACCTGCCAGAATCCAAGCCACAGTACAAATCCCAGAGCACAGGCTCACCCTCTTCCAGAAACGGATTTTCTGCATATGTTCTTCACTCTTCCCTGACCCCAGGTGGACGTCGTCTCCCATCTGGTGTCTTATGGAATGAATGTCACTTTCAGCCTAGAGACACAGTTGTGTGCCTGCCCCTTTTCCTCTGCTGGATGGTGAACGGTGCTTCCTTATTTCTGCATTTTCTAGTTCCTAAGTGATGTGCTTAGTGGACAAGAGTGTGATGAGTCATTGACACATGAAAGGAGGTATAGGAACTTTGGCATTCATTTCTGCTGTACGATTGAGTTTATTTTTCTAGGATGGAAGATTTGACAAACCCGGAGGATATCCAAACAAACATCAAATGTGACCGGCAGGTGTCACTTTATGGTTATTTAAGAGGAGCACACTTCAAAGATAAAAGCCAAATTCACATGCCAGGTATTCTCTTGTTGTAGAACATACTAGAATTGCACATAGGATTCTTGGGATGGCTTCATTTCTCAGGAAAAATGAAAAATGACCAAACAAGGGAAGATGGCCTTGCTGGAGGTTTTAAAAGTAAGCCAGCTATGTGTAGGCCTGCAAAGGTGTTACCGAATCCCTCTTCTCTGACCTCTTGTAGCTAGAGGGCCACTGTTCCAGTGTGGCACAATGCCCTTCTTTAGGGTCATGGGTTAAGCCCTTGGACTGTGGATCGTTTTTAACCCCCCAGTCAACAGTAGATACTTACTGACTTCTTGTCAGTTGAAGCTGGCTTTTTGGGTCCCGTCTTCCAGGGGTAGAACATTTTGCCATGAGTGACATCGGTTTCCTCCCAGACCCTTGTGTTCTTCCTGAATAACAAAAGAAGTGCTGTTTAAATAAGAAGGAGCAGCTGGTTTATGTGCCTGTTTCTGGAGTTGAGGGTGTGCTGTATGACAAAGACGCTGTCTGTGTTGACCTTGGTGGCAGCCACGGTTTTCAGGCATCAGTGAGGCAGGAGTCTTTGCTCTGAACTCTCATTATTCTTTCCTAATCTATTTTTTAATCAAAAAAAGTAATGTACTCAGCTTTTATTTATTGAAGATTTTTCTCTTGTACTTATAATAAAGGCCCAAATGCATATTGTCAATATGTAGAATAAAAAGAATACCATTTTTTCATTGTACCAAGCAGAAGAGTCCTGTCCTCCATGCCTCCTTGATCCGTGGCCCCAGCGCGGGCACTGCTGCCAGTGTGGCACCTGCACGGCTTATTTCTGTTTCTACAAAATCAGTGTGCTTTCCAGCTCTCGTTTGTCTTTTTCTTTTTCTCAATCACAGTGGTCTCCTCATTATTTTAAAGTGGATTTCCAATATTTATTTCTTAGTTCTGTAGTTGAATTTTATTGGGTTAAAAGCAGGGTTATTTAAAAATGTTAGAAAAGCTAGCACTGTTGTAGCACTGGAACTGAGGTTTTTCTAGCTAGGTGTTTAGGTTATCAGGTTATATACTCACTGAGCTTTGGACAAGTTTAATGGAGATGGGGATCCATTTCAAGCTTTGTTATAAGGATTTTCTTCTCTGGTGTTTGTGGCATTAAGAAAAGATCTCAGGAAATGTGTCTAAGATAATTTTGAGAAACTGAGTGAAACCAGTGTCTCTCCAGGATCTTTGTGCTTTCCTCACGTGCCCTTTCTTGGTGGCCTTGATAGGACAAGGTGGGGCTCACCCATGAGCTGGTCCAGAGTCTCATCTCCACCTACTCCACCATTGATGCCAAGATGGCTTCAAGTCGAGTGACGCTGCTTTCCAATTCCAAACCACTTGGGTCAGAGGCTATAGATAATCAAGGGTAAGTCTGCTTTTTTTCTATTTTTAATAAAAAGATATATTACAGAAGATCGTATCACCCATAATTCTGCCATCATAACACATTTTGGTGGGATTCATTCTATGTCGTTTTGTTTTTCTTTGTGTGTGCATGTGTCTCTGAGGGCTCTTCACTTACCTGACATTACAAGGGAGTCTTATCTTGAAAAAAAATACAGGATGCATTTTTCAACAGACTTCAAATATTCCTCAAATACCACGCCATCTTCCATAGGTTGCTTTTTTGGTTTTTCAGAGACCTGAGGCCACTTGGCTTTCTTTTGATGGCCAAAACACTAGAGCAGAGTCAGGGAGTTTGTGGCTGTCCAGAAGCCACATGCCTTGTCTCTGAAAGTTTTATTTAGATTATGTTGTATTATCTCCCATGGGTAGGTTTCCACTAATGTGTGGCTTATGTGAATTATTTTTCAGTCTGGGTTGGGAATTTGTATACCTTTATGCTTAGTGGATGTTTGCAAAACATTGATTTTGTTGTATTGATTTATGACTCCCAGTAAAATTTATCTGAAAATCTTGAGATAATGTAGTATATAATTTGTTACAATGTGCATAAACTACCTACCACAGTGCCTGACGTAATGAGTGTTATTAGCTGTTTTCATTTTTGCATATCCTTCTAGTCATCCTTGTCTACAAGAATACTCTCTTCTAATATAGCTACAGGTAAAATACATAATTTTATTTCTATATTCTGAGGATTTTTTTTCTATACAGTCTTTATGTAATCATGATTTTATTGTTACCAGTGTTTTTTTGTTATTGTGGCTTCTTTGTTTTTGTTTTTGTTTTTGTTTTTGTTTTGAGATAAGGTCTCACTTTGTCTCCCAGGCTGGAGTGCAGTGGTGTGATCTTGGCTCACTGCAGCCTTGAACTCCCAGGCTCAAGTGATCCTCCTGCTTCAGCCCCGCAAGTAGCTAGGACTACAGGAGTGCACCACCACTCCCGGCTAATTTTTTTTGTTCTGTTCTAGGGACGAGTTCTCACTATGTTGCCTAGGCTGGTCTCGAACTCCTGGGCTCAAGCAATCCTCCCGACTTGGCCTCCCAAAATCCTGGGATTACATATGTGAGCCACTATGCCTGGCCTGTTATTCCTGTATTCTAACTTATCCATCCCTTATGGTATGATTTTTAGTTTTTTCTAATTTATGTTTTCATACTTTTATCTATTGTGCTACGTTAAAAAGCTTCATATAGTTTTCTTTCATCCAGTGATTTTAGCCCCCTGATAATCTTCTCTATCAGTTATGGCACTGTTGACTCAAAATGGATGTTATTCCTCTGTCATTCCTTCTAAGTTTGTTACCTGGCATTTTTAACAAAGAGCTTTCTCTTCTCCCCTTTGTTTCAGCATCACGGCTGACTAATGCACTTGCGTTTTATTCCATGGGTTATTTTCCATCACTGTCATTGTACTTTCTGATGCCTATGCTGTCCCAGATTCGGCTGCGGGAGCCTTCGGCCTGTCTCCTGTGTCCCTTCAACTGTCTCTGTTAGTCTTTGAGCATTTCTTACTTTCTGACAGAACCAGAGGATCCAGGCTCATTTTGTCCTCTTCCTGCCTTGGGCCTGGACTCAGCCATTTCTCTTAAGGATCATGCGTTTTTAGCTTAGAAATTAATCAGCTTTCCAGAAGATCTATAAAACCCTAACTTCCCTTTTGAGCAATTTTTTTCTAAAATTAGATTTTTTTTTTTTAAGGGTTATTCCTTTATTCTCTCTATAAGTTCTTTTGAAGTGTGGTGTTAGGGAACCATGCCTCAGTTTCCTTATTAACTCTTCCGGTGTTTATCAGATCATTTTTTCCCTACGCTATGTCATCTTAAACATCTTAAGCAATTCATTGACATTTTCTGTTTCTTTTGTATTTTCATTGACTATATTTCCAGTTCTAGATTAGCTGATTAATGTACAAATTGAATTATTTTGCATATCCTTGGTGATATAGGCTGTTGATGCCAAAGGAGGAAAAACAAATAGACTTGAAAACTGGTCGAATGCGTCAGAAAGCCATTTTTGGAGATGATTCTGTGCGAACGTCTTCTCTCCTTTCTTGATCTCTTAATTTTTTTTTCTTATCCAAATATATACCAGCTGATTTTGTCTTTCTAGAAGATCCAAGATCTTTGGTTTAGAGATATATTCTCTTAATGTTAACTGGTATTAGAATACTCTTTTCTGTATTTTATTTCAATGCATTTTAAAAATAGAAATGATTGTATTTTCTTTTAACTTGTGAAGTAGAGCATGGCATACAAATTTTGTATTCTCATTATTTCAAAAAATTTCCTTCTTAGTGTACAAGTTGTATTCAGCACATAAAGTCCATCCAGCTTTGTTGTAGATGCAGTGTGATTATTACATGTTGATAAGGTGTGAATTGGAGATGGGATCCAAAAGTACTGTACTTATTGTAATTTTTAAGCTAATTGTAGATTTGGTGGTGAATATTTTACTACTGCAAAATGAAAACAGCATTTCATCAGAAGTTGTTTTATGGTCTTTCAGGCATTTTATTTTATATCTTTGATGCTTTTTGCCCATGAAGTATCTCTTTTGTGTGTTTGTGTGTATGTGTACTGATTTGCTGTAAATTTCACAGTGCTCATTGTCAGGGATCATCAGAATCAGGCCTAGGCAGAGAGCTGAGCAGTACTCTCAGTATGTCTCTGTGTCCTGGTTGCCACATATCTCTGTTGTTTATTTATAAATTGGAGAGCTCTCTGATGTGTAACAAAGGTTGGATAGATCAGAGACAATTGGAAGACGAATCCTCTACTCTATTGTCACCTCTTCTTTTTCTATTCACACATGTCAGATAGAGACATGCGTGTTGTAAATTATTTTGTCAGAATGAAAGCCTGGCAGATTAAGTGATTTCTTCTCTTTTTGCTGTACTTGATATCGATCTCTTGTTCATTTCTTGATAATATGTTTGGTTATTTTTGTTTTCATTGCTTTTGGTGTCAGAGATGGCTTTGGATTCCCTGTTCTGTGTGCTCCTGTCTGGCTCCTGAACCCAGCTGGAGAGGTGTGTCAATCCCAACTGGTGAAGTACTGAGAGGAAGCTACACAAAAGGCAGCAAGGTGTTAATAAGTGTACCTCTGACATTTTAACCACCTCTGACTTTTCCATGGAATGGACAAGTAGTAGTCTCTGTCAGAGCAATGTTTTAAAGGAAAAAAAGAAACTTGAGGTCGTAAACTGTTTATTAATTTATGCTGTTATTTTGTGTTTACTCAACTCATTTATATTGACTTGTAAATTAGTAATTTATGAACTACTATTCATCAATTCATTGCCTACATGTCAGCAAACAAGTTTTCTTCTTAATAAAGAATCCGGTGGCTGGGCACAATGGTTCACACCTGTAATCTCAGCATGTTGGGAGGGCAAGGCAGGAGGATTCCTTGAGGCCAAGAGTTCAAGACCCGCCTGGGCAACATAGCAAGATTTCATCTCTACAAAAAAATGAAAACATTGGCTGGGCATGGTGGCTCATTCCTATAGTTCAGGCTACTCAGGAGCCTGAGGTAGGAGGATCACTTGAACCCAGGAGTTTGAGGCTGCAGTGAGCTATGATCCTAACACTGCTCTCCAGCCTGGGTGACACACCAAGAGACCATCTCTTCAAAAAAGGAATCTAGGGGCATCAGTGTGTGCACACAGCATGGCTTGTGAATGCGGAAGTGCCTGTGTGCATAGTTGTGCTCAAGAATGTGTTGATGATTATATCTTCTCAGCATGAAAAAAAGTTGTTGTTGTTTTTTTTTGAGATGGAGTCTTGCTCTGTCACCAGACTGGAGTGCAGTAGTGCTATCTCGGCTCACTGCAACCTCTGCCTCCCGGGTTCAAGTGATTCTCCTGCCTCAGCCTCCTGAGTAGCTGGGACTACAGGCACACGTCACCACTCCTGGCTGATTTTTTGTATTTTAGTAGATACGGGGTTTCGCCATGTGGGCCAGGATGGTCTTGATCCCCTGACCTCGTGATTGGCCCACCTAGGCCTCCCAAAATGCTGGGATTACAGGTATGAGCCACCGTGCCTGGCCTGAAGTTCACATTTATAAAGATCTCTCTACGTCTTAGATTTGATTCTTCCTTTAAATATTTTTCTCATTGACATTTGAAAGCACCTGACCTTATATAAAATGAAGAATTTTCATAACTCCATAAAAGGAGAATTATGACATCATCTACTATTTCTTTCTCTTGTCTCATAAATCTAAACCATCAACCTGCTTATTTTTGTATACTGTCACACTGTGTATTCCCTGCATTGAATGCCTTTCTATTGACATTGTCTGTAAAAATTGTGGGAAGTTTTCTGCACCCTAAATTTTCTGTTATGGGGATTAGATATCCAGTATCCATGTTTTTCCAAGTCTTACATCAGAAAGGGTAAATACAGCCCTCACAGCAGCCTGTTGTTTGTCCTGCAGTTGTGTTTCCATCACATTACACAAAGCCTCTTTGTCTTCGTGGTTGTACCCTGCTAATAAGTTTTTTTTAAATTATGTAATGTGTGTATATACAAATACCTATATGTATGTGTGTACACATACAGCTGATATCTACTGAGATTATGTATGCATGAACTATAGAATTAACTTGTAATTTTAAGAAAATAAATTATTTTGTAAAGATAAATCTCATGTTTAAGAAGGGGAATTACAATTGAATCATTTAGGGATGCCTCAACCTAAGCATAATATGGAAAAAGCCATAACCAAAAGTCATTTTAGAGTACTGCTAGGTTACTCAACCTATCATCACATTTAATTAAAATGTCAGTTTGAACCATGGCCAGTCGATTTTCGTTAATATGTTATTTAAATCAACTTGTGAAGTCTTCATTTTAGATATAGAATTTGTGTTAATGAACTGGAAAATAACATTCTATTGCTTGGAAGATGTGTTAAAGCCTAAATATTTATGACTTTGTAAAAGAAGAAAACCAGCTGGTGATCAGTTGGCATTAGTATATAAGGATGTACTCATATTTGATAATAGCCATTTTTTTCTAACAAGAGTAAGGGAGTTGGGAATGGGAGGCAGAGACAGGGACACAGATATATAAAAAATTGTAGACAAAACTGTATTGCGTTCTGAGTATGGTTCTGTGATCCATGGTTCAGTTTGAGAGGTTCCTGTGTCCCTTATGAGAAGGGACAGGAAAGCCAGGAGGACAGGAGTATGTTTGGGCCTGTGCCTGTGCTTCCACCACAGAAGTCAGCAGCTCTACCTTTCTCTTTTCTCCTCTTTATCTAATAATTGTTTCCTCTTCAAATTTGGGAAATGAGCTTAATCAAATATTTGTTGTGTTTTTTGTTTGTTTGTTTTTGAAATGTGGCCTCAGTGTGTTTGCCCAGGCTGATCTTAAACTCCTGGGCTCAAGTGATCCTCCCTCTCAGCGTCCTGTGTAGCTGGGACTACAGGCATGTGCCACCACACCCAGCTAAGTTAATGCTAATGTGTAGTTTATCTGATTCAGTTTTGAAGGGCGGGATATATATAGATAGTTATGTTGTGTGTGTGGTGGGGGGGGTAGTGTTTATGTGTGTGTGTGTATATATATATTTATATATTACTAGTCCATTGCTGCTACAACAAACTACCAGTATGTCAGGGCATAAAACAAATTTATTACACTCCCGTATGTCAGAGTGTGATGTGGATCTCACTGGGCTAAAATCTAGGTGGTGGAAAGGCTACCTTCATCTCTAGAGGCTCTAGGGGATCTTTTTTCTCGCCTTTTCCACATTCTGGAGTCTGCCTGCATTTTTTGGCTTTGGGCTCTTCTCCACTCTCACCATTAGCAACCTTGCATCCCATGGGCCCTTCTTCTATGGCCACATGTCTCTGTGGCTCTTTCCTTCCCCCTTCTCTTCCACTGTTAAGGACTCATGTGCTTACTTAGTCCTGAATGGAGACACCGTCATCATCCACATGAGCCCACTGTCCTAATCCATACAGGCTGCTACAAGGAAATGCATTAGACCAGGTAGCTTATAAATAACAGAACTTTGTTTCTCACAGTCCTGGAGGCTGAGAAGTGCAAGATCAAGGTGCCGGCAGTCTTGGTGTCTGGTGAAGGCCTGCTTTCTCATAGAGGCTTCCTTCTTGCTGTGTCTTCGCATGGTGAGAGGAACAAACAAGCTCCCTTGTGCCTTTAATAAGGTGCTAATCCCAGTCATGAGGGCAGAGTCTCCCGTAAGGCTTAACCTCCTAATGCCATCACCTTGAGGGTTAGGATTTTAACACATGAACAGTGACGGAACACAACGTTCATTCCATAGCACCAGGGTAGTCTCCTCATGTCAAGGTCTTTACCTGAATCACATGCATGATGTACCGTTTTCATGTAAGGTTCTAGGAATCTGTGGACATCTTTGGGGGGCCATTATTTTGCTGATCACATATTACATATTTTTTAATATTCTAGACTAGTATGAAAACAATGCCACTTCCATTGCTTTATATACGTATCTATATACACATTGTCTAATGCTATAATTAAAAAAAAGTTGTAGACACAAATATACCCATTTAAAAAAAAATTTTTTTTGCTATTTTACTTCATACTGCCAACTCCTTTTTCCTGAAACTGCTTCAACTCTGGAATTCTTTTTTGCTATTAGTTTTATTTTATTGAAATATTCATGAATGAGCATACACTTGTATATGGATTTAAAATTCACAGTAATGTTCTCATGAGTTCATCTGTGAATAACATTTTATAGACAAAATGTCTGCACTAAGACAAGAGAAAGATCTATAATTCCTTTGTTCTAAGGTACCGCCATTCATTGTTATTATTTTAAAATAGGAGTGTTGACTGATGTTAAAACACAAAATGGGGTCGGGAGTGGTGGCTCCCGCCTGTAATCCCAACACTTTGGGAGACCGAGGTGGGCGGATCACCTGAGGTCAGGAGTTTGAGAACAACCTGGCCAACATGGTGAAACCCTGTCTCTACTAAAAATACAAAAATTAGCTGGGCATGTGTTGCGCGCCCATGATCTTAGCTACCCGGGAGACTGAGTCCGGAGAATCGCTGGAACCTGGGAGGCGGAGGCTGCAGTGAGCCGAGATCATACCAGTGCACTCCAGCCTAGATGACAGAGTGAGACTCTGTTCTTCCCCCAACCCCCCAAAAAAACACAAAAAGGGATAATTGGCCGGGCACAGTGGCTCACGCCTGTAATCCCAGCACTTTGGGAGGCCGAGGTGGATGGATCACCTGAGACCGGGAGTTTGAGACCAGCCTGACCAACATGGAAAAAACCCATCTCTACTAAAAATACAAAAATTAGCTGGGCATGGTGGCACATGCCTGTAATCCCAGCTACTCAGGAGGCTGAGGCAGGAGAATTGCTTGACTCTGGGAGGTGGAGGTTGCTGTGAGCCAAGATCGCACCATTGCACTCTAGCCTGGGCAATAACAGCAAAACTCCGTCTCAAAAAAAAAAAAAAAAAAAAAAAAATTATAACTGGGCAGTGGAATTGAAAATGATTTTAAAAAATATCCAAAATACCTAAGGAACTTGTATAAATAAATAGGAAAAAAAAAGAGAAAAACATCAAGAAGCCCACAAAAAAGCAGATTTGTAAATGGGCAATGGATTTGAATAGACATTTAGCCATAGAAGGCATCCAGTTGGTGAAAAGGCATATGGAAAGGTGCTCAGCATCACTGATTATCAGGAAAATGAAAATGAAAACCGCCACGAGTGGTTTAGACCATAGCGGCATGCATGAAAGTTTTCAGACCTCCAGTTGTTGGGAGTGGCTGAGGAGATTGGGGAGCTTCTGTCTGAGTTGGAAGAGTGGAGTCTCAACAAGAACCAGTGTATTCTGGACATGTGTGCGCCCTGGAGTGTTCATGGCTGGATGCCTTGTCTACCTGTGCCTTACAGAGTGACACCATTGTGGTGTGGTCGATCAGAGGGGCAGGAGGCTTTCAGAGGGAGTGGGAAGTGGTGGGGCTTGGTTTGTTTGCCCATGGATGACAGCAAAAGTGAGTTGGCTTCTCAAGAACTTTTACCAGTAGCCTGTTTTGCTACAATTCTAGACCCAGACTGGGGTCCCAAGGCATCATAGCCCACAGCTTCTTAGCAAGTGCATGTTCAGTTGGATCCCCCAGCTCAGCCTGGGTCATCCCCACGTTCTGCCTCTTGGGCCATACATAGCTCAGCTCTGTACTGAGCCATCATCCCATGGTGAGCAAGACCCCATTCTTGGTCTTCAGTCTCTTTCCCTGCAGCATGCAATCAAGGTGGTGGCTGGAAGGGGCCAAGGAGCCACATGTCACAGTGCCCTGCTGCCTGAACAAGGACCAGAGGCCTGTGGAACACATGGCTCTCAGATTTCTCCCATTTGATGACTCATCAGCTGCCCCCACATGGCTTTCTAGCTCACAGCAGATCTAGCCTTCTCTGAGCAGTGAAGATGGGATGTTTTATGGTCATTTTCCCTGGTGTGGAGAGCCCAAGTGGAGTTCTTCAGCACACCCTACACCATCCCCTCACTAACACCCCCACCTGTCCAGTCTTACCTGCCTTCATATCAAAAGCACTCAGTTAACCCAGAGGGCTTCAGCCCTGCCCTGCCTGACTTTCTAGGAAACCCCTCTCTCCACCCACCCTAATCAGACACTGTCTGAAGGTTCCCCCTCATCATTTTAAAAGGAAGAGAAATTTTTCTGACACAGAGGTTCTGGTGAAGTGGCTAGCTCCCACATCACAGGGTGATGGTGGTTTGGACTGGACCAGGATCAGACAGTGCTGTCCTGGGGCTGGCCATCTGATAAGGGGCTCCAGAAAGGGCAGTGATGGACCCCTGGGAGGCTTTCTGCTCTCCTGATCACAGGTTTTTGGTGAGAGGACCTATTGGCCACTAGGGTGTCTGCGGGTGTGTGTGTGTGTGTGTGTGTGTGTGTGTGTGAGATGTGTGTTTACTTGGAATGACTTCTTTCAGCATGAAGCCCACTGTTTTGCTGAACGTATCTCACTGTTTCCTGAAACTCAGTACATTCAGCTGGCTTAAGGGTCCTGGGGCCTCGCTGTGTCATATTTGCACAAGCCTAGTGTCTGTGCAGACTGTACACTGGAGTTCAGTTGTAAGACCCTTTTGATCCCTTATTCTGTTCCTGTAATAGAAAAGCCATTTCACTCAATGGAATAGAAACCCAGATCTAATGGAGAGATGTTCTAATCTGCCATACACTGGGGCAGTGGCCAGTGATTTGGACTTTGTGGCACAGATGGAAATTTCCAGGTTCTCTAGGTGGTAGGCAGAGGCCTCACTTTTTAAGAAACTCCCCCACTCCACCCCTGCCAATGAGGACATTGCTTAGAGGTATTTCTATCAGTGTTGAGTAGAAGAGATCATTTCTTGGTGTTGAATTTCAGGTAAGGATGCCAGCTTCTGCATATCAGGGTGGTGATGTTTGGGCTGCGACAGGTCTAGACAGCAGTCTGAAAGGGGGCTCAAGGAAGTAGCTGTGAAAGGCCCCTGGGATGTTTTCTGCTCCCCTTTCTGCAAATCCCCTGGAGGGAGATCCTGTTAGTCACTACGGGATGTGTGTGTGTGTGTGTGTGTGTGTGTGTGTGTGTGTGTGTGTGTGTTCATCACTTGTTGCTTGGGGTGGGAAGAGACAACAACAACCTACAGAATCCATAGTTCTCAGTTCATCTCCCATCCTAGTCCAATCATGGCCTAACATCCTTAGCTACCGATCGCAGAGGAGACTGCGCATTTGTGTTCATGTGGCCTTGGATGTTGGCAGATTCAGATTGGTGCCCCAGGCATCTGTGCTGTAACTGCAGTTTCAGCGGGCTCAGGACCAGGCTAAAGGGCCTCCAAGCTTCCTCCAGTTTCCTGGTGCATGCATGTGCAATATGCTCCCCTGGCCTGGGTCTTTCCTGCCGCTTCTTGCCAGTTGGGTCAGAACTAGCTTATTAACCAGTTTTTCTTCTGAGCTTTAATCGAACTGGCTCCAACCAGTTGGAGGCTTGAAAAGGGCTACGTGCTAGTTATAGATTTTTAAAGATATATTATTATTTTAGAGTAGTTTTGAGTGTACAGCAAAATGGAGTGCAGAGTCCAGAGATCTCATATGCCCTCAATTCCTGTATACTCTCGGGTCACTCCACCAACAACCTCCTACACCAGAGCCACTTTGAAACATTAGAAAATATATTTGAGCATTCAGAAATGTATAAACTAGGCAGCCCCAGACTGCAAGCAGCTCAGAGGTCCCACAGAGAGGCTTAGGGAGGGTGGGGGAAGAATTTTATATGGTGAATGTGGAAGAAAAAGAAAATACTTGATTGGGTAAAGTGGAGCAGTGGCCTCATTTGGAACATTACAGTGGAAGGTCTCTAGTTAGATGTTAGTTGGTGGTTTCTGATTGGTTCTTACATTTCCTTTTATTATTTACACTGAGTCAAGTTTTGGTTTATTTAAGGAGGAATTGAGTGCACGGCAGCCACCTCAGCCTCATGGCCACCTGTTTATTTGATTATTTTTAACAGAGAAGATCCTTTTAAAAATATCTGTTACCGTGGCTGGAGTGCAGTGACGTGATCACGGCTCACTGCAGCCACAACCTTCCAGCTCAGGTGATCCTCCCACCTCAGTGCTCCCCACCCTGAGTAGCTGGGACTACAGGCATGTGCCACCACACCACCATGCTAGGCTAATGGTTTGTATTTGTTTGAGAGATGCAGTTTCCCTAAGTTGCTTAGGCTTCTTTTGAACTCTTAGACTCAAATAATCTGCCTGCATTGGTCTCCCCAAGTGCTGGAATTACAGGCCATCTAAATCTTTTATCTCAGGTTTGCCTTGTGACAAAAGGTGGGGTACTTTTTCTGACATGATGAGGCAGAGAAAGGTGAGGTGGGTGCATCCTGTGCATATGATTTTCTCAGGTGATGGGAATATGGTGGGCTCTTGCCTAATGGGATATATTTTCTCTTTGAATGATTTGGCAAGATATCAGATGAGAGAAGTTGAATAAATGTTAGAAGAACATAGAAAAAATAGGTTATACACATTGGGTTTCTGAAGAAATGATGTCATTGGAGAAACAAAACTTTTATTGATTTCTGGAAACATTTAGGGCCAATTTTTTGTGTAAGTAATTTGAATTTATGATGATATCTCTGACCACTTTTTGATATTTTTTCTGGTTCAGGTGAGTGGTGTCATTGAGCAAACACAAAGTCGGGCTCATCCAAGGATGAGATTTTGCCAGAGAAAGGATGAGCAGCAAGTCAGGGAGCTTAAGGTAATTATGAGACAGTGACTATCTAAAATTGCTTAGGTAGAAGGAGACAGATTGGATTTTTGTGTGTTTGGTATTTGGGATAAGAGGGATGTGGGTGTGTACTTGAGATGTGTTGTTTATTTTCTCTCTCTTTTTTTTCTTTTTTTTTTTTTTGAGAGGGAGTCTCACTCTGTCACCCAGGCTGGAGTGCTGTGGCACAGTCTTGGCTCACTGCAACCTCTGCCTCCTGGGTTCAAGGGATTCTCCTGCCTCAGCCTCCCGAGTAGCTGGGATTACAGGCGCCTGCCACCACGCCCGGCTAATTTTTGTGATTTTTTTTTTTAGTGGAGACGAGATTTCACTATGTAGGCGAAGCTGGTCTCGAACTCCTGACCTCAGATGATCCACCCGCCTCAGCCTCCCAAAGTGCTGGGATTACAGGCGTGAGCCACTGCGCCTGGCCTGTTTATTCTCTTAAGAGAGAAAATGAGGGGATTAATGGACTGTAGTTCTGGACAAGGTGGAAAACTCTTAAAGTGGAAGTACTGGGGCAAGTGCTCTGACAGGGTAGGATGGTGCAGTCAGTCCCTTCACCCAGAAATCAGTAGAATGTTAGCAGTTCAGACTCAAACCTTGTGAAAAACAGGTGGTGGAAAGGAAATCCCTCACAGCAACTGGCACCATAATCAAGACAATGTTTACAGAATAAATGGAGTTACCTGCTTTCAGCCCCAGGTCGTAGCTATTGTCTGCCCTGCTGATATGTGATAATAATTTGTGATCCTGTTGTCTTAAAATGGGGTCACTCATCTCCAGTAGAATTAAGTCCACAGTGAAGTTGTCCCCCCATCCCCAAAGAGATAAACATATATGAATGAACTCACGTGATAACAACTACTGCTGCCTGGGATCATGAGAGACCTGAACTGAACTGATAGGATGTGAAAGGTGGCTGAGATAATGAGAATAGACCCATCTGCAGAGGATCATAAAACCAGCAAAGACAAGATCTTGTCTAAGATGCCTTCACAAGCTTTGTCCATGAGAACTCTTAAGGATTTCACCAGACCTGTTGGCTGCTGCTGTGATCTCTGCCCAAGAGGAGCCTCTGACCAACATCCAAAGGGCTTCTGGACCCACTGGACTCCTCTGGAGGTACCTTGGTCTCCCGATCCATGGCTGTGGTTTTTTACTCCCTTTATCACTGCCTGTGTGTAGAATGATAATTGCACAATTGATAGTGTGAAGACCTCTTGATAAATGGTAAATCTGAGCATATGTATTTGGCTGACATGTCATTGTGAAACCTCACAGCTTCAGTCAGTGTCTCTCCAAGGACTAAACAATGGAAGACTGTAGAAGATGCTATTCATTAAGATATCGCAAGAATATGGAAGACTATTATTCGCTTCTCATGGGACAGGACTTTTCAGGGCACCTGAAAAAACTCCCATGAAAAATCACTTTTACAAAATGTCAAGTTATGATATTCAAGATGAAACCAATGAGTCACAACATTCACATAATACACTGTACAACCCTGATCTCTTGACTGTCATCAAATGTTTCTTACCTCTAAACCAAAGTTTCATTTTATAATTTAATTTTTCTCATTTTTTCCATTCTCTTAGCTTAAGAAAAGATCATTACAAACTTTTTGTAAGTTTTTCATATATGCTTGCAAAGGGTTGTAAAACTTTATTGTGATTATTCTTGCTTTAAGCTGAAACATCCCTAATCTTTCTTTAGAGATTGTGGCATAGCATGTTAGTTTCTTTTCCATATCCAATTGTTTTCTGTAGTGAATACAGAAATACGGGCACTATTTTGTAACTTTAAATAGACATCATCTCAAGTCTACAAGAATTATCCAAAATGGTATTTAATGACATTTCTAGGTCTTCAGACACTATTAATGCAGATTGTAGCCTCTAGGTCCTGAAGATTTTACTAGATACTGGTTACTGAAACTGAGCTTTCTTGAATTCTTTTTCCTTCCACTGTGGTTTCCCGCATTTCAACATATCACCTATTTTTGTCCTCAAAGGTTACTTAAATTTTTTCCACAGAATTAAATTAAATATGAATCATCCCTCCTCTGATTTTTGAAATGACCCTTTGCTTCCTATGATAATGATTCTTCTGGTCCGTTTTGTAGTTATATGTTAGAGTTTGTAAATAGTCACACATTTTGCAACTGCATGTAATTTTCTTATTATTTTTTCCTCTTCCTCTAAAACTGCTGTTATTTCTTTTAACTTTTTGTGGGAAAAATTAAACCCATCTTTCACGTTGTTGATATACTTATTTATAATTGAACTCCTTGATTTTTGCTCGAATTGCTTTTCAAGTTACCCACTTTTAGGGAAGACATTATTTGGGTTTTGTTTAGTGTATCAGGCTTTTTTTAGTTAGTTGTATCAAGAAGTGTAGACTTTTCTATACATAATATCCTTTTTCCCACAGTATTTTTTTTTTTTTTTAAGTCTAGCCGGGTGCAGTGGCTCACGCCTGTAATCCCAGACTTTGGGAGGCCGAGATGGGCGGATCACGAAGTCAAGAGATGGAGACCATCCTGGCTAACACGTTGAAACCCCATCTTTACTAAAAATACAAAAAATTAGCTGGACATGGTAACGGGTGCCTGTAGTCCCAGCTAATCAGGAGGCTGAGGCAGGAGAATGGCATGAACCCAGGAGGCAGAGGTTGCAGTGAGCCGAGATCGTGCCACTGCACTCCAGCCTGGGTGACAGAGCAAGACTCCATCTCAAAAAAAAAAAAAACAAAAAAAAAAAAAAAAAAAAAACATTCTGTTAAAATAAAGGTCATCAAAAGATCTTTTCCTAAACCTTTCCTTTACCAGAAATAGCTCTAGTGTCACATGGTCCTTTCTCCCTTCTTGCTTTTGTAGGAATCCAAAGCTAATCTGTCCCTGATCCGGATTACACGCACCTGTGCCTTTTGGGGCCCTTCTGCATTAGTTCTTCCTTCTCTTCTAACCTCAAAAATGTGTTTTTTCTATTGGCTCTTTCCCTTTAACATAGAAGTATACTCACGCTTTTGTTGAATCTTGAAATAAAAGTCTTCCTTTACCACATATCTCCCTTTAATACTACATCTCTCTTCTCAGCCAAATACTTGGGAAGAGAAGCCCTGAGTTTGTGTCATTGTTTTCTCACCTCCAGTTCACTACTTTGCCTACTGCCTGACATCCAGCTCGCTCACACACACACACAAGCCCAATCACTAAGTTGCCATAGCTAATTTGTAGCTTTCCTGCCTTCCTGGCAAAATTTGACTCTGCATTGGGATAATACATGTCAAGTACCTATTGAACAGGCACTGTGCTAGGTGCTACTGTTATAGATATGAAAAGAAGGCATCATCTCCTTTCTAACAACTCACAGGAGCAGCCATTCCTGATTCATACATGTCTCTTGACTCCCAGTGCTCACTTTTTCAAGCTTCACTTAATGCCGTGCAAATCACCCTATTCTCCAGGTCTTCTTTCTTCCCAGTTCTCCTTACTATACACAACTTCTCAAGGCAGTCACCTCCACACCCATGGCTTCAATTGCTTTCTCCATTCTCTGAGAACAATAGAATTTTAAATGGTTTTATTTCATGTATTAGCTTTATTTTATACAAGGTGCCTCACCTGCTGTAACCATAGATTCAAAGTTGCTCCATGAAAGTAATAAATGAAAAATGGTGATTTTTTAGCATGTAAATTTTAGGAAATTTCCCCAGTTACGCTTAATGGCTTGATTTAGTGTGTATGTTATTTTTGAAAACATATGTTGGGATGTCACAAATGGACTTAGCCTACAGAGATTTATATTCAACTTTTGACCAGAGAGTTCCATTTTAATGTGACACTGAGAGTAAAAAACTATCTTTTCCTCCTTACCTATTTCTCTTCCTACATTCTCGGCCAGGAGGAAGGCACTGCTACATACCCAGTCTTCCCCAGCAGAGCCTGAGCAGCTCTGTTTTCCTTCTACTTCCCCTCTTCTTTCACATCTCATGACCAAGCACTTCCTATTCTGTCTCCCAAATGATCACAGATTTTTTCCTCCACTTTTGTCACTGCCACTGCCCTTAGCATTACTCTGCCTTTAGAGAAAGTCTCTTAATTGGTTTGGTTGCTTCCTTCAGTCTTTATTATACAGACCACTACACGCACATCTGACAGAGACTTTTCACCTTTTTATGGTTGAATGACTGAAATTCCCAGAATAAAATTAAAACCACCCCAGCATCAAATTTGAGGTCAAATAGAGGTGGGTTTGTATCCCAGGTTCATATACTGTCCAGCAGTATGGTCTCAGAAAACTGACCTCCTTAAGCCTTTGTTTGTGTATCTGCCTACACTCATTGAGAGTTGGGACTATTTCACACATACAGTGCCTGGCATGTAGAAGGGACTTAATGTTGAAAGAAGGGGAGGCATTTTAAAATCCACATCAAAAAAATGTTGTTCTGTTCGGGAGTGGTGGCTCACGCCTGCAATCCCAGCACTTTGGGAGGCCAAGGCAGGTGGATCACCTGAGGTCAGGAGTTCGAGATCAACCTGAGCAACATGGTGAAACCCCATCTCTACTAAAAATACAAACATTAGCTGAGCATGGGGGCGGGATCCTGTAATCCCAGCTACTTGGGAGGCTTAGGCACTTGAATGAGAATCACTTGGACCCAGGAGGTGGAGGTTGCAGTGAGCAATGATTGTGCCACTACCTGGGCAACAGAGTGAGACTCTGTCTCAAAAAAAAAAAATAAAAAGTAAAAAAAATTCTTTTAAAAATATACGAATCTGGCTGGGCACGATGGCTCATTCCTGTAGTCCTAGCACTTTGGGAGGCTGAGGCGGGCCTGACCAACATGGAGAAACCCCGTCTCTACTAAAAATACAAAATTAGCCGGGCATGGTGACGCATGCCTGCAATCCCAGCTACTCGGGAGGCTGAGTCAGGAGAATCGCTTGAGCCCGGGAGGCGGAGGTTGCAGTGAGCCAAGATCACGCCATTGCAGTCCAGCCTGGGCAACAAGAACGAAACTCCGTCTCAAAAAAAAAAAAAAAAAAATAGTGTTCAGCAAGGTTGAAGCATAAAAGGTTAATAGCCAGAATCATTTATCAATTGTATTTCTATACATCTACAAGACACAATCTGAAAATGAAATTAGAGAAACAATTTCACTGGGCAACAAGAGCAAAACTTCGTCTCAAAATAATAATAATAATAATAATAATAATAATAATCTACAATGTCATTTCCCATCCAAGCTTGACTTCTACCTTTACTTTCTGATATGGTTTTGCCATGTCCCCACCCAAATATCATCATGAATTATAATCCCCATAATCCCGATGTGTCGAGGGAGGGGCCTAGGGGGAGGTGATTGGATCACAGGGGCAGTTATCCTCATGCTGTTCTTGTGATATTCAGTAAGTCCTCATGAGATCTTATAGGGTTTTGTTTTGTTTTGTTTCCTGGGATAGAGGCTTGCTCTGTTGTCCAGGCAAGAGTGCCATGGCACGATCTTGGCTCACTGCAGTCTCTGCCTCTTGAGTTCCAGTGATTCTCCTGCCTCAGCCTCCTGAGTAGCTGGGATTACAGGCATGCACCACCACACCCAGCTAATTTTTGTATTTTTAGTAGAGACAGGATTTCACTACATTAGCTAGGCTGGTCTCAAACTCCTGACCTCAGTTGATCCACCTGCCTTGGCCTCCCAAAGTACTAGGGTTACAAGTGTGAGCCACCGTGCCCAGCTGAGATCTGATGGTTTTATACATGTTTGACAGTTGCTCCTTCACATGTTCCCACTCTCTGTGCGGCCACCATGTAAGTCGGACCTGCCCTTCTGCCATGATTGTAAGTTTCCTGAAGGACTTCCCCCTCTGCCATGATTGTAAGTTTCCTGAGGCCTCCCCAGCCATGTGAAACTGAGTCAATTAAGCCTCTTTCCTTTAAAAATTACCCAACCTCAGGTGTTTCTTTATATCAGTGTGAAAACAGACTGCTATACTTTCTGATAATCATGCTTAAGCAATTGGGGAATTCAGACTACCTGGGATCAAACTATGGCCCCACCCTTAGCAGTCATGTGACCTTGGGGGGGTTTACTTACCTTCTCTGTCCCAACAACTTCTGTAAAATCTGTAACATGAGATTGTTTCTGAGGGTTAAATGAGCATAGCACAGTGGGGACACTGTCAGGCACACACTACTTGCCAGATGTCGAGTATTCATCTTTATTGAAATAGGACTGTGGTAAGCCACTTTATGGCTCTCGATTTTGTATGAGAAAATCATGTTTAGTGCCTTGTTAGTAAAAGAAAGAAAATCTGAAAGTCCCTGCCATGGAAGGAAGAAATAGCGGGGAGAAAAGGGAGTTGGTAAGTTTCAGCATTTCAGAGCTTGGAGGGACAAGTTAGGTTTCTATTTTATGGAGAAGGAGGTGGAGGCAGGATGGGTCCTAAGGTGTCATTCAAAACACACAGCCATAACTCTTTATTGAGAGTAGAGCTAGGGCCCCAGGGATTGCTGTGATCAAGTTGCGGACAAAAATGACCACTCGTTGGAAGACAGGAGAGGAGTGTTTAGTTACAAAAGCAGTCAACAATTCAGGTGTATCTATATTCAGACAGCAAATAAAAGTTGTTCAACTTGGTTGCTAATGGGACCCACTCTACTGAGGCTTTATGTAGAACTCATAGAGGAAGCTGGCTTCGAGGAATGAACTACCCTGTGCTTTTCTTAGGACTAAAATCTCAGGAAGCTGGTGATGAATGAAAACCTTAGTCCCACTGGCACTGCACGAGGGGCCAGGAGAGCAGCAGCATCATAAGCCACAGGGTGGGGCAGCCAAGGCAGGGGCATTCTGAGCTGTTGGGGAGGGGTGGCAGGCAGGGTGGGGCACTGTGAGGTGTCGGGGAGGGCATTGTGAAGTGTGGGGTGGGGCATTGTGTGCCACATGCCTGGGCTCCCACCTGGGGCCAGTGGGCTTCAGTCTGTAGGTGACTACAGAAGGAGGAGGAGCTCCGTCTGTTCTCTCTTCAGGCAGTTGTTGTGTCTCTCAGCGCTTGTTGGGTTCACAACCTATTAAATAAGCCGGCTGGTCTTCACCCTCCCAGACAAGTCAACTCAGGGGAGGCAGCAGGGTGCGGGCCTTGGCCCACAGCCCTAGCCGGGGCCGGGGCCGGGGCCGGGACCAGGGCTGGTGCCCGGGGCCGCACTGTGAGGTGGGCAGGCGAGGAGCGGGAAGACCATCTCTGCAAGTGCAGCATAGCCTCGGCCTAGGACAGCGGGAGTGCGTGGCCAAAGCTGTGAGCAGAGGCACAGGTGGTGGCAGGCAGTAGAGGCGCCCCATGGGGAACATACTGACCTGTCGTGTGCACCCTAGCGTCAGCCTCGAGTTTGACCCAGCAGCAGGGGTCGGTGTGTCCCTCTGAATCTGAGATCTATGAGGCAGTAGCTGAGGACAGGATGGCAGGAGCGCCCATGGCTGCTGCTGTACAGCCTGCTGAGGTGACTGTTGAAGTTGGTGAGGACCTCCACATGCACCAGGTTCGTGACCGGGAGATGCCTGAAGGTAAGGAGGTGATAGGTGCCATCTACCCTCGGTTTGCCTCTGGCTGCTGCTGTCCCCAAGGTTCCCTTTGAGGCATCCTACACTTCGAGCTCCTTTCTGCTTGTAGCCAGCTTTCCCGGGGGCTGGCCAGGAACAAAAGCTGGCTCTGCCTTGAATTCCCACCCCTTAGTCTTTCCCCACCGAGTCCAGTCAGTTTCTTTTCACCTCCCCTCCCAATCGCCCAGTTCTTGCTCTCTCATCTCATTCTCCCAGGCTGGCATGGGACCATTTATTTATGGCTCTTGTCGAATAAGCAGCAGTTGAATAAATGAGTTGATAAATTTTTATAAATGATTACGTCCTTTTTCTTTTCTCCCTCTATACATATAGCTTTGGAGTTTAACCTTTCTGCCAATCCAGAGGCAAGCACAATATTCCAGAGGAACTCTCAAACAGATGGTGAGACAACAGTGTCTGTAGCTCTGTTTATTATCCTGTGGGACTTTGTTTAGGCTTCTTTGAGCTATTCTCTTCCTTTTCTCAATAAAAACTCAAATATCCCAACTTTTCAGTACCCATCTTAATTTTTCTTTGAACCTATCCAGATGGTACCTAAGTGAAGGAACCAGGTAAGTGCCTAATTGTTTCCTTTGTTAAAGTAGCCAAATCTCAGGACAGTTCCTATTCAAATATTTGGGGATTTCTTATTTAAAATCAGAATGGAGGTTGCCACGGGAGAGGCTATATGGTATTCTTAATGGGCTGCTTTAAGTCACCTTGATAGAAGCTGCTTAGTTTCTTCTAACTGTAATTTGAACACAGAAGGAAAGAGAAAAAAGGAGAGTGCTTAAAATAATTGTGAAAGGTATAAAATGTCACAGCCAGGGCTGCAGAAAAATGGTTGTGTGTGTGTGTTTGGGGTTTCTCAAAGGAGTTTACCTATGAGGCTCTGATTACTTTAAAATTCTTACTTTAACAGAAAATGTGTCTCCAGATTTATTCTGGTGACTTAACAGACTTTATTTACCTCCTTGTTCTAAAAGAGAGGTGGGGATTGGTTCACGGTCAAAACTTTCAAAAGACATGAAACGTCAATGTAGACTTTTAATGTGTAATATAAAGATTGCAGGTTAAAATGTCAGACCTTCCCTGTAAGAGTGTTTGTTGCCGTGGCTCCCCCTTTGTCCCTTCCCCTCCTGACAATAGCATCTTGTTCAAAGATAAGAAAGTTACAGTTTTGGCTGGGCTTGGTGGCTCACGCCTGTAATCCCAGCACTTTGGGAGGCTGTGGCAGGCGGATCACCTGAGGTCAGGAGTCGAGACCAGCCTGGCCAACATGGTGAAACGCTGTCTCTACTAAAAAAGAAAATACAAAAATTAGCTGGGCGTAGTGGCGCATGACTGTAGTTCCAGCTACTCACAAGGCTGAGGCGGGAGAATTGCTTGGACCTGGGAGGTGGAGGTTGCAGTGAGCAGAGATCACGCCAATGCACTCCAGGCTGGGTGACAGAGCGAGACTCCGTCTCACAAAAAAAAAAAGGAAAGAGTTGGAGTTTTTTAGTCTCTACACTGTTGGCAGAGGCAGGGGATGGGAGCCGGTAGAAAACAGAAAACAATTAGTTGGTTTGCCTCTAAAATTTTGCAAAGAGATGAATCTAAGTAAAAGTAATTCTGGGTAATAATATGGTTCTTGAATAAAAACTGAAATTTTCAAAATAGAAAACATTGCATCATAAACATATTAAATCCAGTTGGCTTATTGGTTTCATTTAAATGCCAGAGATTTCATTACTGTAGAGGAAATGTCTTATAGCTCTTCTATTTAAACTTTGGTTGGGCTCTTAATTTTTAAAGAGGTAGGATAATTAAGACTCATTATGAGTGTGACTTTGTAACTTGGAAGTACTATCTTCACATTTCAAGATATTTAAGGATTGCTTTAGAATAAACAAATGCATTATGTGAATTAATTGATTGTACCTTTATACACAAAGCATGTAAGTACTTGTATAAACTTATACTCTGCTTGGTGAAGTTCGGAAAGCCTGATGGATGTTACACACCAGTTAGTAGATGGGTAGTGTTGGATGAGAGCCCAAAAATGGCTCTTTATTGTCATTCTTTAGGATTACAACACAGTTTATGTATGTCTCACTTGGCCCTTTCCAATACAAATAAGGCCTGTGTATGTTCTCCCTATGTATTGCTAATGAAGAAATGAAAACTTAGAGATATCACATGACTATGGAAGACAGCTACTCAAGAGAACTAAGGTTCTGTGTCCTCAGAATGAAATGGAAGTGACAGATATGATGAATTTACTTTTTAAAAATTTTAAAAACTCTAGAATACATCTTATATTTTGCCTATAAAATAGACTGTCTTTTAAAACTTACTGCCATCTTGATTTATTTTATGCAAAGTTGATTTTACACAACTCAAAGCCAAAATTTACCTCTTTTTTTTTTTTTTTTTTTTTTTTTTTAAATAAAGGAGGGTGTCATTGTGTTACTCATGCTGGCCTCAACTTCCTGACCTGGGTTCAAGTGATTTTCCCATCTCAGCCTCCTGAGTAGCTGGGACTACAAGCATGTGCCATCTTGCCTGGCTCTATCTTATGTCTATACATTCATTTCAATGGATAAGAATCAAAGTAGAGATAGTGAAATAGCCTAAATGCAGCAGCCGAATAAACGAGTTGATAAATTTTTATCAATGATTGCATCTCTTTTTCTTTTCTTCCTCTATGCATATAGCTTTGGAGTTTAACCCTTCTGCCAATCCAGAGGCAAGCACAATATTCCAGAGGAACTCTCAAACAGATGGTGAGACAACATTGTTTTTTCCGCCAAGAGAAAGAATAAAAGCTCTTGTTTGATCAGGTTATAGAAAGTATTTAGAAAAACTCATATTGGTTTAAATTTTTCACCTTTTCACATGTTCACTTGTCTTATTTTAATATGTGATATACTTTCCTTTAGTTGTTATGATGTTAGTGAAAACGTGTAACCTTTTTGTTTATACATTTTGCCATCTTTTTATCAACACAATTAATTTGTCATGTGTTGGAGGAGTCATGGATTTCTCTTTATAATTCTTGGATTTATCTTTATTTATAATTAATGGATTTATCTTTATTTATAATCCCTTTTCCCTTGCTCCAAAAAGTACACTTTAAAGATGAATGATAGAACTTAGGCTTCAGCTTGGTTTTCATTTAAACAAATTAAAAAACATAGTTGTTTATCATCAGGGATTGAATCTGTGATTTGGGCCTCCTCTTACACAGTCCTCTGACCACATTCATTTACCACATCCAAGTTCATGCTACTCAAAAGTTTTAGGTTATTAACTTTTTCATTTGATGTCATGTAAATTTAAACATGCCCTACTCCTGCTTATTTCCCTAATGTTATGTTAAATCCTCATTTATTTGCCAACAAGCCATACACAGCCAAGTTTTCCAGTTGACTTAAACAGCAAGAATACAAGTGAGGGTTCTATAATAGTGTGCGAAGTAATGCAGCACAGTAAAACACGGGAGTTTGTAACCTTTGTTTTTATAGTTTGAGTAGACTTTGCCCATCTTGAGTCAGTTATTTCTGGTTAGAATTTGTCTTCATTTTTTACATTACTATAAAGAGATACCTAAGGCTGGGTAATTTATAACAAAAAAGAGGTTTAATTGGCTCAAAGATTTTCAGGCTGTACAAACATGGCTTTAACATCTGCTTCTGGTGAGGGCCTCAGCAAACTTACAATCATGATAAAAGGCAAAGGGGAAGCAGGTGGTTCCACACGGTGAAAGAGAGAGGGGAAGGGGGAAGGTACCACACTCTTTTTTTTTTTTTTTTTGAAATGGAGTCTCACTCTGTTGCCCAGGCTGGAGTGCAATGGCACGATCTTGGCTCACTACAACCTCCATCTCCCAGGTTCAAGCAATTCTCCTGCCTCAGCCTCCCGAGTAGTTGGGACTATAGGTGGGCACCATAACACCTGGCTAATTTCTGTATTTTTGGTAGAGACAGGGTTTCACCATGTTAGCCAGGCTGGTCTGAAACTCCTGACCTCAAGTGATCTACCCGCTTCAGCCTCCCAAAGTGCTGGGATTACAGGCTTCAGCCACCGCACCTGGCCAGTACCACAGTCTTTTAAATTACCATAATGAGAATTTGCTTATTACCATGGGGATGGGACCAAGCCATTCATAAGGAATCCACTGCCATTACCCAAACGCCTCCCACTAGGCCCTGTCTCCAACATTAAGGGTCACATGTTAACATGAGACTTGGAGGGGCAACATATCCAAAACATATCAGAATTGTATTTCCCAGTTCCTTCCAGAGCCATGGGCTTCTCACACCTAGAGAGCATGGAAGCAGTAAAAGAAAAGCTATTCCATGTCCCTCACTCTTCGGTGGTAGGAACTTTTGCCTACAAGGCCCTTCCAGCATCAAAGGCAGAGGCAGTGTAGGAAACAAAGCATGGCCCAAGTCCCTCTTGGGGCTTTTATTATTCTGGCCTCTTTTTAGAGGAAAAAAAATGATTTTTTGAGCTGCAGACACCATGTCCAATTAGGTTTGTATACTCATTTTAACATCAAAATTTAGGCCAGGCTCTGTGGCTTACACCTGTAATCCCAGCTCTTTGGGAGGCTGAGGTGGGTGGATCACGAGGTTAGGAGATCAAGACCATCCTGGCTAACACAGTGTAACTCTGTCTCTACTAAAAATACAAAAAAAAATTAGCTAGGCATGGTGGCACGTGCCTGTAGTCCCAGCTAGTCAGGAGGCTAAGGCTGAAGAATTGGTTGAACCTGGGAGGCAGAGGTTGCAGTGAGCTGAGATCCCACCACTGCACTCGAGCCTAGGTGACAGAGTGAGACTCCATCTCAAAAAAAAAAAAATTAAGATACGTTACTTTCCAGTTGTGTAAAGACCGTTTTTTAATTTTGATTTGTTTTTAGTGACATATTAGTAGATAACCACTAAGTGTGGTTCAAGATGCTTACAGGGATTCTGTTGCATCTAGAGATAGGTGTCTGGTCAGGACGTAGTTCTTAGAGCTGTTAGCTCTTAGAGTCTGATAATTAAAGTAAGCTATGTGTAAATGCAGAATGAGAGAATACTAATGGATCATGGCTCATATATGCAACAGTTAAACTTTTTATTAGCTAAATTTTTCATCTGGCCTAATTTTTTTACCCTTTTCTTTTGTACATGAGGATTCTTTCATTTGTATGTAATAGAAACAAAAAGTAAACTAAATGAAAAACTAAGTTTTTAGATTTGACTTATGAAATTAATCATGCCAGATAATTTAAATTATAAATTATTGAAAATTATTTTTTTAAATGGAATTTTGTCTCATTTTACATAGGAGTAATCAGTAAGATGTTAACAACTACTTTTATTTTATGGTATTTGTATCAGAAGTGACCAGTTTTTTTTTTTTTTTATTCTTAGTTGTAGAAATAAGAAGAAGCAACTGTACAAACCATGTAAGTAAACACTCAAATAGTTAAGAAATTGATAGTTTGACATAAAAGGATGTCTCTCTTGATTTCTTTAAATTACAATGTGGACCTGGTGGTGGTAGCATGGACCTCTTTTTGTGGATTTTCTAAATCTCTTCTATTTTCCTGAGTATTAAATTTATCCAGAAAAGTGTTTAGCTTAGCGTGTCCACCTTTTAAAGATTTCTGACATTTAAGTTAAATTTCAATAGTCTGGTTCAAAAGATCTGCCTTAAGGCTGGGCATGGTGGCTAACGTCTGTAATCACAGCACTTTAGGAGGCCAAGGCAGGCTGATCATCTGAGGTCAGGAGTTTGAGACAGCCCTGACCAACATGGTGAAATTCTGTATCTACTAAAAATACAAAAGTAGCCGGGCGTGCTGGTGCATGCCTGTAATCTCAGCTAGTCAGGAGGCTGAGGCAGAAGAATCACTTGAACCCAGGAGGCGGAGGTTGCAGTGAGCCAAGATCGTGCCATTGCACTCCAGCCTGGGCGACAGAGCGAAACTCTGTCTCAAAAAAAAAAAAAAAAAAAAAGTGCCTTAAATATTTAATCTTATTTTTAATGAAAGAACAAAAATAGAATAGTTAAGTTAATTGCCAGCACTGTCTATTGACTTTCTATCACAGCGGGTAAAAGCGTATCTTCCTCGCTACACCATGATCTTATGTTTCTCCCTGTGTTTCTTCCAATTGTAGCACACTTTTTAATTAAATCAGTAATATTTACATGATTATGACTCTGCAAATATTATTCACTGCTAAGTCATATGGTGTTTTCACTGTGCCTCTGCATTCCATGTCCTTCATCCTGTCTCTGAAACAGTTCTGAAATCTGAGCACTTCTGCAATTCTCCTGGATCTTCTTTTTTCCTAGCCTATGTTAGTTTATCTATCCAAATATCATTAAGTAGCCTCTGGGTGCTCTGTTTGCTTTCACATCCATTATTTTTTAGCATGAAGCTAATTTTCTGACTATATTCATTTGCCTATTTTCTAACAGCTGTTTTTCCCCCAAGTATTGTAGCATTTATCACATGCCTTTCAAAGATATTTTCCATCTGCAAAAACACATCTGTTCCTTTTTATGTGTGTGTGGGGGGCAACTTTCTTTGGCCTTTTGTCATCCTAGTTCAATATAGCGTGGGTTTCCCTAGATATGCTCGATGTCTGCTTTTCTGGGCTAACTCCTTAAAGTCTTTTGGGATCTCACGTAACTGCTGTCTTGTGTGGGATCGCCTGAGTCCTAGATTCTGTGTTTCCTTCTGTCCTGTTATCGTCTCTAGTTGTACTTGAACACATTTTCCTGGGTGGAGATGTTAAAATCCCTCCTCTTTGATAGAGAGTACACCTCTAGGTTGAATCTAAATTGTATGGTTCTGAAGACATTTTGCAGTTGTGCTCTTATTACAGTGTTGTTCTTGAATCTATTGCCAGTGTGTGATATGTTATTTACAACCAGGTTTTAGTTATCTGCGGAAGCTTTTTAGAATCTCTCTCTCTAAGGTTCTGAAATTTTATAACAGCTTGTTGGGGATCTTTTCATTTTATTGAGGCTACTAAACCTGCAGACTATCTCTTCTTGAGAATTTTTTTTTTATTTTCTCTGTTACTTTTTTACTGATAGTCTTGTTCTTCAGATGCTAGGCTGCTTAGACCAGTACACCTGCATTGATTTTTAATTTTTCCCCTTCTATTTTTTTCAGTTTGTCTTTTTATTCTAGTTCTGGGATATTCTGTGACTTTATCCTCTACTATTTCTATTGAATTTTATATTTTTTGAGAGTGTTTTAAGATTTTTTTTTAAAGTTTTGCTCCTGATTTTGACTGGTCCTATCAATTCCTTTTTTCTATTGTTTTGATCTCTTTTCTTGGAGGCTTCCCTCCAATGTGTGGTGGTCCCTGGCCTGCTTTATTTGGAAGCAGGATTTCTGTTAACTGATAGCACTCAGTGTGAGGCCTTAGAAGCCTGACTAGCTTTTCATTTGGGAGACCTCAGTGTATTATCTGGGGATCTTTACTGAAGACATTTCAGTTTCTTCTGAGAAGGATCTCCCAATTTTCTGCCTGGAAAGGAAAAGCAGAGTTAGCAAAGAAAGTTGGAGTTCCATTTTTGGTGTACAGTTTTCTTTATATCTCAGGTTTAAGCCATAGTATCTCTGAGCCAGAAATTCTCAGGTTTGATATATCCAGAGAACACACATCTAAGTTTCTTGTCAGATGGAAGGACAGGTAGACTTTGGGCTCTAGTTAGAGATTTGCAACTGACCTTGCTGGCTTTTTTTTTTTACATTTTACCCTACTTTCCAAAGTGCCATTTGCCTGTAAGTTCACAACCTGCCTTTAGTTCTGCAAGACAAACTGGCTCGCTTCTGTTCCAGTCACTTTCTGTAGTCAGCAAAGTTGTGTTTCTGTGTTATTTACCACTCCTTTGTCTACTTTTTATGTCTCAGCATTTACTAAAAATTATCTCTGTCAACCTTCTGTGCTGGTCATGGGTGTAACCTTTATTTTATGACTAATGAGGCTTCCAGAGGGAGACGAAATAAATTTGTGGTCAATCTATTATATTTAATCCAAATTTAGGACCTATGTTTAAATCAAAGTCTAATTTGAGTATAATGATATTAAGCCAGAGAATTTTTTAAATTAATGTATCTATAATAAGCATATTACACTTTTCTCCTAAGGCCTTGTTTAATATTTTCATTCAAAGTTTATCCACTGCCATATGCTTCCCATTACTTCACAACATAAATGGAGCTGTTTTCCTGAATGCCCAAGGTGTTAGAAATATTTAAGTTAATTAAGATTTGTTCATTTTTAGCCTGGTCAACATAGCAAGACCTCATGTCTACAAAAAGGTTAAATAACAAATTAGCCAGGCCTCGTGGCATGCGCCTTTCATATTACCTACTCAGGAGGCTGAGGCAGAGGATCACCTGAGCTCAGGAGTTTGAGGCTGCAGTTAACTATAATTGCACCACTGCACTCCAGCCTGGGCAACAAAGGGAGACCCTGTCTCGGAAAAAGGAAAAAAGTTACTAATTCTTTAAAAACCTATCTAAAATTTGTCCTGCCCAAAAGGAGAGTGAAAAATATGAACTTTAGTCTTTGTTTTATTTTATGTTTGCTGAGAAAAATGCTGTACTTTATTTATTTATTTATTATTTCCATAGGTTTCTGGGGGAACAGGTGGCATTTGGTGACATGACTAAGTTCTTTAGTGATGATTTGTGAGATTTAGGTGCACCCATCACCTGAGCAGTATCCGCTGAACCCAATTTGTAGTCTTTTATCCCTCACCCTCCTCCCAGCCTTTCCCCCAAGTCCCCAAAGTCCATTGTATCATTCTTATGGCTTTGCATCCTCATAGCTTAGCTCCCACGTAGGAAAGAGAACATGATATTTGGTTTTCCATGCTGAGTTATTTCACTTAGAATAATAGTCTTGCTTCCATCCAGGTTGCTGGGAATGCCATGAATTTATTCCTTATTATGGCTGAGGTGGTATTCCTCATATATATATATATATAATATGTATGTATATCACAGTTTCTTTATCCGCTCATTGACTGATGGGCATTTGGGCTGGTTCCATATTTTTGTAATTGTAATTTGTTTGAGTTCCTCATAGATTCTGGATAATAGCCCTTTGTCAGATGTATAGACTGCGAAGATTTCCTCCCACTCTGTGGTTGTCTGTATACTCTGCTGATTGTTCCTTTTCCTGTGCAGAAGCTCTTTAGTTAAGTCTCACCTATTTGTTTCTGTTGCATTTGCTTTTGTGTTCTTGGTCATGAAGTCTTTGCCCAAGCCAGTGTCTAGACGGGTTTTTCCAATGTTATCTTCTAGAACTTTTATGGTTTCAGGTCATAGATTTATGTCCTTGATCCATCTTGAGTTGATTTTTGTGTAAGGTGAGAGTTGAGGATCCAGTTTCATTCTCCCGCATGTGGCTTGCCAATTATCCCAGCACCATTTGTTGAATAGGGTTTACTTTCTTCACTTTATGTTTTAGGTGGCTTTGTTGAAAATCAGTTGGCTATAGGTATTTGAGTTTATTTCTGGGTTCTCTATTCTGTTCCATTGGTGTATGTGCCTATTTTTATATCAGTACCGTGCTATTTTGGCGACTATGGCCTTATAGTATAGTTTGAAATCAGGTAATGTCATGCCTCCAGATTTGTTGTTTTTGCTTAGTTTTGTTTTGGCTGTGCCGGTTCTTGTTTGGTCCATATAAATTTCAGGATTGTTTTTTCTAGTTCTGTGAAGAAGGATGGTGGTATTTTGATGGGAGTTGCATTGAATTTGTAGATTGCTTTTGGCAGTATGGTCATTTTCACAATATTCATTCTACCCATTCATGAGCATGGGGTGTCTTTCCATTTGTCTGTGTCCATGACTTCATTCAGCAATGTTTTGTAGTTCCCAACGGCATATCAAAAAGATAATCGGGCCAGGCACGGTGGCTCACACCTGTAATCCCAGCACTTTGGGAGGCTGAGGCGGACGGATCATGAGGTCAGGAGTTCGAGACCAGCCTGGCCAACATGGTGAAACCCCATCTCTACTAAAAATACAAAAGTTAGCCGGGCGTGGTGGCGCTCACCTGTTATCCCATCTACTCGAGTGGCTGAGGCAGGAGAATCGCTTGAACCTCGGAGGCAGAGGTTGCAGTGAGCCAAGATCACCGCATTGCATACTCCAGCCTGGGCAACAGAGCGAGACTCCATCTCAAAAAATAAAAAAAAGATAATCCACCATGATCAAATGGGTTTCATACCAGGGATGCGGGGATGGATTAACATACACAAGTCAATAAATGTGATACACCACATAAACAGAATTAAAAACAAAAAATCACATGATCATCTTAACAGATGCAGAAAAAGCATTTGACAAAATGCAGCATCCTTTTATGATTAAAACCCTCAGCAAAATCAGCATACAAGGGTCATAGCTCAATGTAATAAAAGCCATCTATGACAAACCCACAACCAACATAATACTGAAAGGGGGAAAAGTTGAAAGCATTCCCCCCGAGAACTGGAACAAGACAAGGATGCCCACTCTCACCACTTGTATTCAACATACTACTGGAAGGCCTAGCCAGAGCAATCACACAAGAGAAAACAATAAAAGGCATGCAGATCAGTAAAGAGGAAGTCAAACTGTTGCTGTTTGATGATGATATGATCATATACCTAGGAAACCCTAAAGACTCCTCCAAAAAGCTCCTAGAACCGATAAATGAATTCAGCAAAGTTTCAGGAGACAAAATTAATGTACACAAATCAGTAGCTCTGTTATACCCCAGAAGCGACCAAGCTTAGAATCAAACCAAGAACTCAACCCCTTTTCTGATAGCTGCAAAAATAAACTAAAATAAAATAAAATACTTCGGAATAGACCTAACCAAGGAGGTGAAAGATGTCTACAAGGAAAACAACTTTAGTATTTTTAATGGGTTAAAATGAGAGGCAGCAGGTACAGCAGAAGTCAGTGCGTGGGCATCCGCATCCAATGGGTACTGCACCTTTGATGGTAAGGCTTTGGTTTTGACTTACTAAATTACTAGGTACGATTATTTTCTAGTTTTTGTCATTAAACCTTAAAACTACTAAGTAACCCCTTCCATTTCTTGTTAAATATTGTAAAATTTCATACTCTCATTTATGCTGACTGACGTTAGATTATTTGTTTCTATTTTGTGACTACCTTAAATAATACCTATAAAGAGTAAACTGTTAGTAGTGTTTTTGCTGTAATTAAATGTAGTAAGACTTACCTTCCAAATGATGACTGAATTGTCAAACACTTGTCGAAGTTTTGGATTTACTCAAAATTCTATGCTCAGCAGCTGGAGGTAGGAAGAGTAAGGGCCCTCCCTTACTCTTATGGAGAGGCATACTTTCTCATGAGGGGAATACTCTGCAGCAATTAGCATCTTGTAAGCAGTGGTGAATTCAACTAATTAGTGTATAAAAATACATTTTTTGGTGTGGCTGCCGACAAAGAGATCCAAGAGGGTAGATGGAGTCGAGCTTGCTGAAGCAAGGAAAGAGAAAAGCAGTATTCTAGGCAGAGAGCAGGGGTAGAGCAGGAAAATGGCTAGGTGCAGGTCAGATGATTTATAGAATGCAATTGATCAAGTTTTGAAGTGAATGCAAAGTATTCTCCAAGAGTCTCATTTGAGTCATGTCTTGGCAGTCTTATTTAAACATGAAGTGAAAGTTAGATTTTTTAAGTTGTCATTTGTTTTTAGGGTGTGAGAGAATATTTAAGTGATACTCTTTTTATCCTCCACATAAGAAAATAGGACTAGAGAAACCTATGGCTTCCTCACTTGTTGGTGGCCTAGCAGCCCTGGCACACAGAGCCCCTGAATCTGAAACACTTCTTTTGTAACAATATCACCTGAAATAATACATTTAGGATTAGTAATTTAGTAAATGCATTAATCTTGTATTCACTGCAATAAAATGCTCTTGTAGCAGGATTATTTAATACACTACATTTTATCGTAGTAAATAAATAATAGAAGGGCTGGGCGCCGTGGCTCACGCCTGTAATCCCAGTACTTTGGGAGGCTGAGGCAGGCAGATCGCGAGGTGAGGAGATCGAGACCATCCTGGCTAACACGGTGAAACCCCGTCTCTACTAAAAATACAAAAAGTTAGCCGGGCATGGTGGCGGGCACCTGTAGTCCCAGCTACTCAGGAGGCTGAGTCAGGAGAATGGCGTGAACCCGGGAGGCGGAGCTTGCAGTGAGCCGAGATCGCACCACTGCACTCCAGCCTGGGCTACAGAGCGAGACTCCGTCTCAAAAATAAATAAATAAATAAATAAATTAATTAATTAATTAATAGAAATTCTTGGCTGCTTTTTATTGCTGTAGAAAAAAATATGAAATCTCATTTTAAACTTTTCTTTCTTTTTTTTTTTTTTTTTTGAGACGGAGTCTCACTTTGTCTCCCGGCCTGGAGTGCAGTGGCGCGAACTCGGCTCACTGCAAGCTCTGCCTCCTGGGTTCACCCCATTCTCCTGTTTCAGCCTCTCGAGTAGCTGGGACTACAGGGGCCTGCTACCACGCCCGGCTAATTTTTTGTATTTTTAGTAGAGACGGGGTTTCACCATGTTAGCCAGGATGGTCTCGATCTCTTGACCTCGTGATCTGCCCGCCTCCACCTCCCAAAGTGCTAGGATTACAGGTGTGAGCCACCGCGCCCGGCGAAGCCGACTTTTCCCATTATTTTTAACGGTAATTCATAAAATCCTTGTTAGGTTTGATGACAGGTACCATATTAAGGGCAGCATTTTATAACCCATATCTTAAACATCATCTCTGGAAGTTGAGAGCCTCCAATGTGTTTTCTATAGAGTGCACATGATACCACACTCAGGCAGTTCATGGAGTGTAAGACATATCTTAGTGCTTTGTCATTTGACATTTTAACTGAGAAAAAAATACACTTTGATAAGTTTGACTTACACTTCCCTTCCCCTTCAGGTATCTACTGAGCGTTTCAGTCAACAATACAGCTCGTGTTCGACAATATTCCTTGATGACAGCACAGCCATCCAGCATTATCTTACAATGACAATAATATCGTGAGTACAACTATGCTGCCGAGGGACAGATTCCTTTATTCGGAAATTATTTCAGCCATTTGGTTGTCCTCTTCAGCAATCAGCTTAAGAAATTGGAGTCAACCATATATTGATATCCAGATTCTCAATATTAAGTATCAGTTTCTCTTTTAATCTTAGACGTCGTGGTGGAAGGAAAAATCAGTTAGCAAAGAAGCAAACCCAGAAACAGTGTGTCTTTTTGATGCCTTTATGCCTTTAGACAATGTTGAACACAGTGAGAAGGATAGGTTCCCTTTATTGAATGTTTTTTGTGGAAACTTAGTTTTTCAATGCATCATAGGCCCAAATCAGTGTGCACTACTTTGGACATTATCCTTGGAAGAAGGAACAGCTTTTCTTCTTCTGGCACCACAGTGTATCTGCATTTGAATTTCTCCCATTGTGCATGAGCACCTCGTGGACCACGATGCGCTTTGAGAGCACCCTGAGATGAAGTTTATTTTAAAAGGAACAACAACCAACACCACCACCAGCTCCACAGGGGCCGTCCAGTGTACATTATTCTCATCTCCTTGGGTTATTAGTCTTGATTTTTAGAACACAGTTTGGAAAGTGCTAATTTAGAATATTAATGTCTTTATCTTTAATTTAACTTTTCATTCTGTAAACATAACTAGCTTATAAACAATTTTGTTTCAAATGCACTAGCCTTTTTAGCTAATTCAATTGTCAATAACTTTTACTTCAATTAAAAGTGGCAAGTTTACACTCATAATAATGTCACTTTCCTCCCTCCCTTTTAACAATAGTTGAGAGGAAATTGTGTTTCAAACAAAAACTGAACTCAAACTCTGTCTCAAGTCCTGAGCTTTGGGACCTATTGAGTAATCACTAAATGTCTGTAGTCAGCCAAGTCTCTTAAATCTTTGAGCACACATACACAAAAATTACTTTGACTAGAGTCCCTGGCTTCTTCTGAGTTCCAAAGATTTTGATAAGTTAGCATATAATTCAAAAGCAGCTTTGAAGATTAATTTTGCTGAAACAAATTTCGTGCTTTTTTCCTCATTATTCTACTTTTTAGAAGTCTACTTTTGAGAGTATAGTAAGTTTTAATTTGCCACCAGCAAGTTTGAGAAATGATCATTTGGTGTATTCACTATTGGTGAAATAAAGTTATTGAACAAATTAATAGGGCAAATTGGCTTCAAGAAGATATTTTGAAAAATGTTTTATCATGAATCAGTAGTGCACTGTTGTCAGTGGGATAGGTGGAACTCGCTGAGATCACTTATGCAAGGTTTTTTTCAAAATGCAAGTCTGCAAATACATGTATCTTCCCATCTCCACTTTCCCTCTATCTCTAGGCACTGAGAAGCCTTTTAGGAAAATCGGGATGGATGTGAGGCATCTTTCTGTGAAGAAAAGCATCCCAGAAGATTCTGATTTTCACCCCAGCTCAATCATTCCAAACTTTGCTGCTGATTGAAATCACCTGGGAAACGTTTACCAAGAACCTTGATGCCCAAAGCCATACCCAATACTAATTAAATTAAAATGTCTCATGTGGAAGATGAGGCAGATATTAAAGCTTCTCAGGTGATTTTAATGTGCAGCAAAGTTTGAGAGCCACTGCTTAATTTGAGTTTAGGACGAGAAACTGCTCCTATTTGGTGGGACCTTGGGCAAGTCAGTTTTAAGGTTTGTTTCCCTGATCTGTAAAACAAGTGTTGAATTAAATGTCACATAAGGTCATTGGTCCTTTCCAGCATGTAACTTTAAATTCTGTGATTTTAAAATTATTTCAGAGATGAAAACTACTTGAAGCACTATAGACATATCCATCTCACATGCTAATGTTACAGGCTTTTTAAAAAGTGCTAATATTGTGTAGACCTATTAGTAGAATTGAGATTTACCTTCCCTCAGTTGTTTTGAGCCTCACTCTACAAAATTAGCTGGGTGTGGTGGTACATGCCTGTAATCCCAGCCACTTGGGAGGCTGAGGCAGGAGAATCTCTTGAACCCGGGAGGCAGAGGTTGTGGTGAGCCGAGATCACACCATTGCACTCCAGCCTGGGCAACAAGAGCGAAACTCCACCCACCACCCCCCCAAAAAAAAAAATTATCTGGGCATAGTGGCGCAAACTTGTAGTCCCAGCTTCTTGGGAGGCTGAGGCGTGAGAATCGCTTGAACCTGGGTGGTGGAGGTTGTGAGGAGTCAAGATGGCACCACTGCAGTCCAGTCTGAGCAAGAGAGACAGACTCTGGGTCAAAAAATAAATAAATACATAAAATAAATCGCATGGGACGAAAGGTTTCATCGGTAGAAAAGCATATAAAAGGGAAATCTGTTATTATTTATATATTGTAATCACCAACAGAAACGCGTCTTCTAACGGCATATTTCCTTGCATTTTGGTTCTCATATTTTTGTAAAAAACAAAGAAATGAAAACAAAGTGCCCTTATGGTACTGTTCTGAACTAGAAGATTTGAATTTCAGGGCCGCTAGGAGAGTTTCCTCTGCCCCCCTTTTAAAAAATGTCTTCAGGCCTAACAAATGATAACATCTATTGTTATGAATTTTTTTTCCTTCCACAGTGTGACCTTGGAGATACCTCATCATATCACACAAAGGTGAGCTTTTTAGAAACCTGTCTTGTTATTCTAGCTAATTACTTTGCAAGATATCAAGCTCAGTGTTAGGTCACAGCTCTAGACATCATAAGCTGTATTGTGCCTACTAAAATATCGAAGCAAATTATTTGTATTTTCTTTGTTCCTTAAGACTCTCATAATTCTTAAATGATTGAGAATCTCAAAGAGTATATGTTTATATTGATTATATTGATATTTAGTGTGGTAGAATTATACAATTGAAATTTTTTCAAAATCTATTTTTAGTTTAGATTTCACAGCCTTACCACTGTTGATATTATGGGCTAGATAATGCTTTGTTGTGAGGACTGTCTTGTGCATTGCAGAGAGTTTAGCAGTATTCATGGCCTCTACCAACTAGATGTCAGTAGTAACCCATGACCCAGGTTATAAAAACAGAAAATATTCCTTGAGAACAGTATTGTTAACAGAAGTTTTTCATTGAAAAAAAACTTTTCTACAACAAAAAGTTGAGTAAAAAGTGTGTCATTTGTTTATATTATTTAAAGTCTCTCATGTTGAGCTTAATAGGAGACAAATGGATTCTCTAGAGCTTTCTTTGCAATTTGCTTCAAAGAAGCAATATGAGGCTGGGCACAGTGGCTCACGCCTGTAATCCCAGCACTTTGGGAGGCTGAGGCGGGCGGATCACAAGGTCAGGAGATCGAGACCATCCTGGCTAACACGGCGAAACCCCGTCTCTACTAAAAATACAAAAACTTAGCTGGGCATGGTGGCACGCACCTGTAGTCCCACGTATTCTGGAGGCTGAGGCAGGAGAACTGCTTGAACTTGGGAGGCGGAGGTTGCAGAGAGCTGAGATGGTGCCATTGCACTGCAGCCTGGGTGACAGAGCAAGACTCTGTCTAAACAAACAAACAAAAAAAGCAAGCTGGTGGGGCGCAGTGGTTCACACCTGTAATCCCAGCATTTTGGGAGGCCGAGGTGGGTGGATCACTTGAGGTCAGGAGTTTGAGACCAGCCCGACCAACATGGTAAAACCCGCCTCTACTGAAAGTACAAAAAATGGCTGGGCGTGGTGGTGCATGCCTGTAGTCCCAGTTACTTGGGAGGCTGAGGCAGGAGAATCGCTTGAGCCTGGGAGGTGGAGGTTGCAGTGAGCCGAGATCTCGCCATTGCACCCCAGCCTGGGTGACAGAGAGAGACTCTGTCTCAAAAAAAGAGAAAAAGAAGCAATAAGATGACCTAACCTCATGCAAATATGTAGTTGGTAGAAGGTGTATTTTTAAAGTTTTCAGACAGTTGTGGGTATTTGTTAAAACACTAAATCAAAACTTCACAAGTGGTGGTTTCTTAAATTAGTTACGGTGGCATTTTACATATTAATAAATTTATTCCATCAGTACTCATTGATCTTTCTTGCACAGTAAATGGATCTTTTGCTCCATACTTGCATTTATAATATCATGCATTAGTTACTTGGAATATATTGGTTTATGTTTTATTGTGTCAAAAATCACTTTTAGTTTAACCACCAATCTTACTTTAACACGCCTTTAAGTATTGAAAAGCTGCCAAGCCTACAGTAGAAGGAACAAGTTTTTCAAAGTCCACAGGAAAGCTTAAATTTTATCATTGGGAACAAATATGTATTTCCCTTGAAGTGACAACCTCTCACTTCATTTATTTTTGAGAATGATAGTTGAACTGGTTTTTTAGACCGAGTTTCACTCTGTCACTTGGCTGGAGTGCATTGGCATGATCTCAGCTCAAGCAATCCTCTCACCTCAGGCTCCTGTGTAGCTGGGACCACAGATGTGTGGCACCACGCCAGGCTAATTTTCTTATATGTTTGATAGAGACACGGTTTCGTTATGTTGCCTAGGCTGGTCCCGAACTCCTGAAGGAGCTCAGGCCATCTGCCTGCTTTGGCCTCTCAAAGTGCTGGGATTTTACAGGCGTGAGCCACTGCGCTGGCCCAGTTGTACTTTTAAATAAAAATGATGTTCTGTGAAAAAAGTGATTTTTCAGTTCACAGTTAAATCACGGATTCTTTAAAAACAAAAAAAAAAAGCACTTCTCATTAACTTTCCACTTATTCAGAATATTAGAGACATGTCAAGATTTAACAACATTAATTTTTATTGCTTCATCAAAGACGTTCTTAAGAAATTCAGGCTATGTTTTTTACCTGTAGGGGACAGTGAAGAATAGAATGACTACTAATGTAATTGGTACCACTGCCTTGATTTATGCTGAGAAACCAGCCATTGTACCTACTTTTGCTTTTATACAATCATGGCAAGTGTCAACGAAAAAGCAGGCAATGACTTTGTATTACTTTCACAAATTTTTAAAATTTTTCATCAGCTTTCTCAGGTTTAATTAGTATGATTCAGAACAGTGTTGGCCAGGCACAGTGGCTCAGGCCTGTAATCCCAGCACTTTGGGAGGCCGAGGCAAGTGGATCGCCTGAGGTTAGGAGTTCAAGACCAGCCTGGCCAACATGGTGAAACCACATCTCTACTAAAAATACAAAACTTAGCCAGGAGTGGTGGCAGGTGCCTGTAATCCCTGCTACTTGGGAGGCTGGGGTAGGAGAATCACTTGAACCTGGGAGGCGAAGGTTGCCATGAGCAGAGATCGCACCATTGCACTCCAGCCTGGGCAACAAGAGTAAAACTTGGTCTCAAAAAAAAAAAAAAAAAAAAAAAAAAAAAAAAAAAAAAAAGAACAGTTATGAGCTCTTAGGCCTTCTGGAAGAGGTCTTCGGGATCCCGAGAGGTCCACAGAGCACATTTGGAGAACCACTGGTTTATACACAGGCACAATGCATTAGTTTTACAAAGTTTAAAGTTCCTCAAAGACTGGCCTCTTAAAAAGGTAGATGAGTTTGTCATTCAGACAACAGAAAATACATAAAAACATCATGAGAGTATACTACAGAGAACTAAAGAGAAAGGAAGCTAGGAAATCTGAATCACATTTACATTTATTAAAGTTTACTACTACTGCTTTGTAGAACATTCTTGTGTTTCAATGTGTGGTTAGAAGAGTGAAAATATGTTTGGTTTATTGCCATGGCCTGTTAGGGAGAGTCAATACTCATGGGCATTTCTGACTGGTTATCATATAAAAGGCTTCACGGTACAGACCATGATGTGCTGAGAAAGAAGAAGTCAGGAAACCCTCTGCAAGTCAGGATCCAGGAGAAGAATTCGTAAAAACTGCTTTGGTAAAGTAAACACCAAAGCACACAGGAGGAAGTATTTTACTCAACAAATATTATACTAAGATATTAACAGTTTTTGAAGTAATGCACTTTCTTATTTTATAGAGATGCAGATAGATCTTTGAGCATACCTGATGAACAGTTACACTCATTTGCGGTAAGTGGCACTTTTATTGAGGTTGTATTTTCATCGTACACTTGTATCTGTTTCATGCTGAAGTCAAAGCCATCTTTTTTTAAATCTTCCCCATTTCATGTTGCATTTAGTCATCTTAAGTGTTGTAAAAAGAATGTGCTGGAGTAAGAACTGATCTGCAGCTCTGTTTAGTTAGTGAGCTAGTATGAGTAAATATACTATCCAAACAACAGAAAATGTATCTTTTTTTTTTTTTTTTGATGGACTCTCTTTCTGTAGCCCAGGCTGGAGTGCAATCGCGCGATCTTGGCTCACTGCAGGCTCTGCCTCCCAGGTCCCTGTTCAAGCAATTCTCCTGCCTCAGCCTCCCGAGTAACTGGAATTACAGGCATGTGCCACCATGCCCAGCTAATTTTTTTTTCTTTTTTTTTTTTGTAAAGACAGGGTTTCACCATGTTGGCCAGGATGGTCTTGAACTCCTGACCTCGTGATCCACCCACCTTGGCCTCCCAAAGTGCTGTGATTACAGGTGTGAGCCACCATGCCTGGCCCAGAAAATGTATCTTTTTAAAAGGTAATTGTGAGCTGTCTATAGGATCCTGCAAGCCACTACCCAATTTTTGAAGCCATTCCTCCTCCTGTTCCACACAGGTTTCCACCGTGCACATTATGAAGAAAAGAAATGGAGGTGGGAGTTTAAATAACTATTCCTCCTCCATTCCACCGACTCCCAGCACCAGCCAGGAGGACCCTCAGTTCAGTGTTCCTCCCACTGCCAACACACCCACCCCCATTTGCAAGCGGTCCATGCGCTGGTCCAACCTGTTTACATCTGAGAAAGGGAGTGACCCAGACAAAGAGAGGAAAGCCCCGGAGAATCATGCTGACACCATCGGGAGCGGCAGAGCCATCCCCATTAAACAGGGCATGCTCTTAAAGCGAAGTGGGAAATGGCTGAAGACATGGAAAAAGAAATACGTCACCCTGTGTTCCAATGGCGTGCTCACCTATTATTCAAGCTTAGGTGATTATATGAAGAATATTCATAAAAAAGAGATTGACCTTCGGACATCTACCATCAAAGTCCCAGGAAAGTGGCCATCCCTAGCCACATCAGCCCGTGCACCCATCTCCAGCTCTAAAAGCAATGGCCTATCCAAGGACATGGACACCGGGCTGGGTGACTCCATATGCTTCAGCCCCAGTATCTCCAGCACCACCAGCCCCAAGCTCAACCCACCCCCCTCTCCTCATGCCAATAAAAAGAAACACCTAAAGAAGAAAAGCACCAACAACTTTATGATTGTGTCTGCCACTGGCCAAACGTGGCACTTTGAAGCCACGACGTATGAGGAGCGGGATGCCTGGGTCCAAGCCATCCAGAGCCAGATCCTGGCCAGCCTGCAGTCATGCGAGAGCAGTAAAAGCAAGTCCCAGCTGACCAGCCAGAGTGAGGCCATGGCCCTGCGGTCGATCCAAAACATGCGTGGGAACGCCCACTGTGTGGACTGTGAGACCCAGAATCCTAAGTGGGCCAGTTTGAACTTGGGAGTCCTCATGTGTATTGAATGCTCAGGTATCCACCGCAGTCTTGGCACCCGCCTTTCCCGTGTGCGATCTCTGGAGCTGGATGACTGGCCAGTTGAGCTCAGGAAGGTTATGTCGTCTATTGGCAATGAGCTAGCCAACAGCATCTGGGAAGGGAGCAGCCAGGGGCAGACAAAACCCTCAATAAAGTCCACGAGGGAAGAGAAGGAACGGTGGATCCGTTCCAAATATGAGGAGAAGCTCTTTCTGGCCCCACTACCCTGCACTGAGCTGTCTCTGGGCCAGCAGCTGCTGCGGGCCACCGCTGATGAGGACCTGCAGACAGCCATCCTGCTGCTGGCACATGGCTCCCGTGAGGAGGTGAACGAGACCTGTGGGGAGGGAGACGGCTGCACGGCACTCCATCTGGCCTGCCGCAAGGGGAATGTGGTCCTGGAGCAGCTCCTGATCTGGTACGGGGTGGACGTCATGGCCCGAGATGCCCACGGGAACACAGCGCTGACCTACGCCCGGCAGGCCTCCAGCCAGGAGTGCATCAACGTGCTTCTGCAGTACGGCTGCCCCGACGAGTGCGTGTAGTATCTGTTTTATTTGACTGCAGTCTCCTTGGTGCAAAAACAAAATGGGAAAAATAAGGATAACTCAGAATTTCAAAAGGAAATCACAAATTCAGCTAGTAATAGCATTTTCAGTACTTTTCGTAAACTAAGTAAATACACAAAATGTTGATTTTTCTGACTATAAGACATATTTTATGTCCTTTTGCCAAGGTGGATGTGTTAGTCTCAGGCCCTCCTGGCCACATTGCCCAAGTCACACAGGCTTCTGTATTATGTATTTAGATAAAATGTGTGAAAATATATTTGAAAAAAAATTTCATAAATGTGCATTGATTTTTGTACACATGGCACCTCTTTTTCATTTTTATTTTTATTTTTTTTTTTGGACGATGTTTTGCTCTGTTGCCCCAGCTGGAGTGCAGTGGCATGATATCTGCTCACTGCAAGCTCTGCCTCCCGGATTCACACCATTCTCCTGCCTCAGCCTCTCAGGTAGCTGGGACTACAGGTGCCTGCCACCACACCTGGCTAATTTTTTGTATTTTTAGTAGAGACGTGGTTTCACCATGTTAGCCAGGATGGTCTCGAACTCCTGACCTCGTGATCCACCTGCCTCGGCCTCCCAAAGTGTTGGGATTACGGGCGTGAGCCACCGTACCAGGCCCATGGCACCTCTCTTAATTTATAAATTGAACTGGATGTGAAGTAATAACGTCAGCTAGTTGAGATAAGAGGGTTACAGTTAGGCTGGGCGCAGTGGCTCACACCTGTAATCCTAGCACTTTGGGAGGCCTAGGCGGACTGATCACCAGGTCAGGAGATTGAGACCATCCTGGCTAACATCATGAAACCCCATCTCTACTAAAAAATACAAAAAATTAGCTGGGAATGGCCGGGCGTGGTGGCTCACACCTGTAATCCCAGCACTTTGGGAGGCCGAGGCAGGCGGATCATGAGGTCAGGAGATCAAGACCATCCTGGCTAACATGGTGAAACCCCATCTCTGCTAAAAATACAAAAAAAAAAAAAATTAGCCAGGTGTGGTGGCGGGCACCTGTAGTCCCAGCTACTCGGGAGGCTGAGGCAGGAGAATGGCGTGAACCCAGGAGGCGGAGCTTGCAATGAGCTGAGATTGCACCACTGCACTCCAGCCTGGGCGACCAAGCGAGACTCCATCTCAAAAAAAAAAATTAGCTGGGCGTGGTGGCGGGCACCTGTAGTCCCAGCTACTTGGGAGGCTGAGGCAGGATAATGGCATGAACTCAGGAGGCAAAGCTTGCAGTGAGCAGAGATTGTGCCACTGCACTCTGGCCTGGGCAACAGAGCAAGACTCGGTCTCAAAAAAAAGAAAAAGAGGGTTACAGATCATTGCACATGGAAAATATTCCCAGCAGTAACCACTTCCATTAATGTGATCTACAGCTTTTAAAAAGGAGCATCTCAGAATAAGATGGTGGTACAATTTGCTTATTGAGAAAGGAAAAAAAAAAACACATGAGTATATTACAAAGGGAAAAGAAGGAATGTGATTTCTCATGATTGAAAGCTTGATTTAGATTGCATACAGCTTTTGCTACCCAAGACCAAGAGGCTCTGGCAAGACGGTGGTTTTCCGAATGCCAGACTGAGGTGCCTTATGAAGGCAGCTGCCGATGGTTCCAGATGTAGAGAGATAGGTGATGCAGGAGGGAAAGCTGGATTGGAAAAGGGAGAGTTTTGTAGACGGGCTACGCTCATTGTGCCTTTGAAAGAGCAGAGCCGGCAGCCTCTAGTCATCATTTGGATATACAGGACTAGAGCATGAATCTGATGTAGAGCTACAGAATGAAGAGCAACAGCAGCTGTTTAAATACCAAGAAAGTGTGTAGAATGAAATTGGACAAGCCAAGCATGGTGGTTTCATGCCTTTAGTCCTAGCTACTTCGGAGGCTGAGGTGGGGGAATTACTTGAGCTCAGCAGTTTGAGTTCAGCCTGGGCCAGATGGTGAGACCCTGTATCTTAAGAAAAGAAAAAATAAGACCAGGTGCAGTATCTCATGCCTGTAATCCCAGCACTTTGGGAGGCCAAGTTGAGATGACTGCTCGAGTGTAGGACTTCAAGACCAGACTGGGCAATAAAGTGAGACCCATTTCTACCAAAAAAAAAATCAAGAAATTAGCTGGACATGGTGGCACATGCCTGTGGCCTCAGTTACATGGCATGGCAGGCTGAGGCAGGAAGATCACTTGAGCCCAGGAGGTGGAGGCTGCAGTGACCCATATTCATGCCACTGCACTCCAGCCTGGGCAACAGAGTGAGACCCTCTCTCAAAAACAGATAAAGTGGACAGAAAATAGGTCAGTAAGGACTAATCATTTAAGGGACAAGCCCCCAGAAGAGTGGCTACTAGAGTGGGAGGAGGAAAAGCAGAAGGAGAAAGAGTTGAAGATAGGCGAGGCTGTGGTCCCAGTGCTGAATTCTGCCAAGCAGTGACTTGATTCATGAACACTCACTGGATGCTGACTCTGTTTCTCTTCTGAGTGCTGGGGTAGAGGAGAGGAGAGGTGGAGCACAGTTCTTGCTTTTATGAGCTTATGTTCTAGGAAGTTCAAGTATTTTTTCAGGTAGTATGAAATAGCAGGAAGAGGAAGCAGGCTAAAGGGACACAGAGTGATTGGGGGCTATTTTAAGTAGAATGATAAGGAAGAGCCTGTCTAGAGAGCTATTTGAACAGTGACCTGACTGAAGGGACAACAGAAAGCAGTGCTGACATTACAGGTAGCAGGATGACTGCCAAGACAGAAACGCATTTCATATGTGTTCGAGGAACAAACAGCAAGGTGACCAGCATGGGGAGAGTGAAGAATGAGGGAAACCTTGAATGAGAATAAAGCAATTCCATCTTGGATGCTAATCTGCCATATTCTGATTAATCCCAGTTCCAAGACTTCATCTATGATTTCTATTTTATCTTTTTAAAAAATATATTTTTTATTTTTTGAGACCGAGTCTCACTCTGTCTCCCAGGTTGGACTGCAGTGGCACAATCTCAGCTCACTGCAAACTTCACCTCCTGGGCTCAAGCGATTCTCCTGCCTCAGCTTCCCGAGTAACTGGGATTACAGGCGCCTGCCACCACGCCTGGCTAATTTTTGTATTTTTAGTAGAGACGAGGTTTTACCGTGTTGGCCAGGCTGGTCTGGAACTCCTGACCTCAGGTGATCCGCCCACCTTGGCCTCCCAAAGAGCTGGGATTGCAGGCGTGAGCCACCGTGTCTGGCCATACACATCCCTGCTGAAGCCCGCATTACCCTTCCCCTATGCTATAGAAGCCCTGGGTCGGGGGGGTGGGGGTGATGGCACAGGGATCCACCATCTTATCTTGGTGCCATCCCTGACTTGCCTTCTGTTCATAAACGCCTATTAAATGTTTCTTTCTGAGAAACTGGATTTGTCAGCCTCTTTCTTTGGTATCTCAGGTTCCTTGGCCTTTGCGGGTAGGTTTATATAGACCTGCTCAGCACAGGACAGGCAGTTTCTCAAAAAATTGAAAATAGAATTACCAAATGATCCGGCAATATCACTTCTGGGTATATAGCCAAAATAATTGAAAGCAAGGTCTCATAGAAATATTTGTACACTGATATTTATAGCAGTGGTATTCACACTCGTCAAAAGATGGATGCAGCCGAATTGTCCATAGGCAGATGAATTGATAAAATGTGGTATATACATACAATAAAATATTCTTCAGCCTTAAAAAGGAAGGAAATTCTAACACATGCTACAACATGGATGAACATTGAGGACATTATGCTAAGTGAAATAAGCCAGTTAGAAAAAGACAAATACTGTGTTCCTTCACTTATGTGAAGCGTCCAGACTGAGTAAGCAAACTAATAGAAACAGAAGGTAGAACGGGGGTTGCCAGGGACATGGGGAAGGGAGAAAATGGGAAGTTGCTTAGTGGATATAGAGTTTTGGTTTTGTCAGATGAGAAAGTTCCGGAGATTGGTTGCATGGCAATGTGAATATACTCTACATTACCCAACCCAAGGGCTCTCCTTGACCCCTGTTCCAACTGCCACTTAGAAGTGGTTAAGGTAGTAAATTTTATGTATATTTTACCACAATTCAAAATAGAATTATTATTTTTTTATTATAATTTTTTGAGATCCCTCACTCTGCTGCCCAGGCTGGAGTGCAATGGCGCCGTCTCAGCTCACTGCAACCTCTGCCTTCTGGGTTCAAGTGATTCTCCTGCCTCAGCCTCCCAAGTAGCTGGAACTTACAGGCACATGCCACCATGCCCAACTAATTTTTGTATGTTTAGTAGAGACGGGGTTTCACCATGTTCGCCAGGCTGGTCTTGAACTCCTGACTTCAGGTGATCCGCCTGCCTTGGCCTCCCAAAGTGCTGGGATTACAGGTGTGAGCCACCATGCCCGGCTGTCAAAATAGGTGTTTTGTTGTTTTTTTTTTTTTTTGAGATGGAGGTTTGCTTTTGTTGGCCAGGCTGGAGTGCAATGGCAGGATCTCGGCTCACAGCAACCTCCACCTCCCGTGTTCAAGCAATTCTACTGCCTCAGCCTCCTGAGTAGCTGGGATTACAGGCATGCACCACCATGCCCAGCTAATTTTGTATTTTATTTTAGTATAGATGGGGTTTCTCCATGTTGGTCAGGCTGGTCTCCAACTCCTGACCTCAGGTGATCCACCCACCTTGGCCTCCCAAAGTGCTGGGATTACAGGTGTGAGCCATTGCGCCTGGCCTTTTTTTTTTTTTTTTTTTTTTTTTTTTTTTTTTTTTGTGATGGACTTTTGCTCTTGTTATCCAGGCTGGAGTGCAATGGCACGATCTCAGCTCACTGCAGCCTCTCCTCCCGGGTTCAAGCAATTCTCTTTCCTCAGCCTCCTGAGTAGCTGGGATTACAGGCATGCACCACCATGCCTGGCTAATTTTGTATTTTTAGTAGGTATGGGGTTTCTCCATGTTGATCAAGCTGGTTTTGAACTCCTGACCTCAGGTGATCCACCCACCTCGGCTTCCCAAAGTGCTAGGATTACAGGCGTGAGCCACTGTGCCTGGCCTGAAAAAAAATTTTAAAGTTTGAGAAAATACAAAATTTTCATAGTCTCCAAGTATTTCTCCTAAGATCTTTCCCCCTATGAGGGGGAAAGATAGTAACTTTACAATGGAGAAACCCAGCAGAAACCTGAACCAAATGAACAAGTTCAACATCATCAGTAAGAAGAACTATCAATGCCATAACTCTGATGGAATGCACTGGGAAGGATTCCACATCATTTTTGTGCTGTAATTGCCAAAAGTTCGTAACTTCAGTCCAATCATGGAAATACATCAGACAATCCCAAATCGAGGAACATTTCACAAATACTGATCAGTACTGGTTCAAGATGTCACGGTTATGAAAGATAAGGAAAGATTGAGGAACTGTTATTGCAGTCCTACAAAATGGCGAGAGACTAAGAAATAACTAAATGCAGCGTGATCCTGGGTGGAATTTGGGAACAGAAAAAGGACATTAGTGGAAAAAGTGGTGAAACTCCAATAAGGTCTTTTGTTTAGCGAATATGTTCATTTTAAATCAGTTAAATTATTTAAATATATTTAAACATTAGTTAAATGTATTTAATTAAATTAATAAAATTGGTTATTTTGTGAAATAATTTTAATATAGTTAAATATGAGAATGTGGATTTCCTGGTTCTGATCACCGTACTGTGGCTATCTAAGAGGTGCATGTTCAGGGAGGCTGGGGGAGGAATAAATGGACATTATACTATTAAGTTGGAAGAGAGAAACCTACCCCATCAGTCACAAAACCCTCACATTCATGGCAGTGTGTTGGACGTTCCAGTATGAATGGCATTTCCCAGATGTCAGCGCGAGGTCCCTGTGGAGGGAGTGGGGCTCCCTGGGAATCTAGTGGAGAGCATTCGGGGCTCCCTTCCTCAGGAGCCTGACCTTCCTGCACAGAAGCGTCAGCCTCACCTCTGTACCACTGCCCCTCTGCCTCTCAGAACCCACTCGCCTTCAGGAAGATTCTACTGCCAGCCTCCTTTCCCAGATACAGCCTCCAGGGACTCAGCCCTGCCTTCCCAAGTGTTCCCGCCTCTCTTGGGAAGGGGTGCTCTCAGATCCCACACCCCTGGACTTCCCCGGGCACCACCTGCTCCTTCTTCACTTCTCCAGCTCTGCGTTCTCACTCTGAGGGTCCTCTCCTGCTGGGAATGTGTGTTGCTGGCAATAGTGAAGATTCCCCCCTGGGTTGCCCCCCATGCCCTGTTCTTCTGCACTTCCCTGGCTTCCTGCGTTGGTTCTGCTGGTGTCTCCTGCTTTTGGGTTTACGTGGCTTCCCAGCTTCCTAATTTCTCTGAAGTTGAGTTTGATGTGTGTATTGATGATGGGCTTTTTCCTCCTCCTCCTCCTCCTCCTCCTCCTCTTCCTCCTCAGTCTTGTTGTTGCCCCATATAGTTTCCAGAAGGAGAAAAGGGACACTGTAAAATTAAGCTGCTGCAGGCTGGGCACAGTGGCTCATGCCTGTAATCCCAGCCCTTTGGGAGGCCGAGGCAGGTGGATCACCTGAGGTCAGGAGTTCAAGACCAGCCTGTTCAACATGGTGAAACCTCATCTGTACCAAAAATACAAAAATTAGCAAGGCATGGTGGCATGTGCCGGTAATCCCAGCTACTCGGGAGGCTGAGGCAGGAGGATCTCTTGAACGTGGGAGGCAGAAGTTGCAGTGAGCCGAGATCATGCTACTGCACTTCAGCCTGGGTAACAAGAGCAAAACTCCATCTCAAAATAATAATAAATAATAATAATAATAATAATAATGCCATGTTTCTATCAGACCCAGAAATCCCGCAGAGTGAGCTGGAATTCTCTGTTTCTCTGTTTCCCCTCCATACCCACTGGCTCCTCTCTGCCCACTCCCTCTTGGACTGCATCACCAGGGTGCCTCACTGTCTGGCCCTAGTGGAATTCACACAGTGGAGGACGTCATAGGAGGTGGGAGAGAGAGAGAGAGGAGAGGTGGTTATTCGCTCAGATTCTTCCTTGCTGGTTTGGCAGTGGCCACATCTTTCTACTGATGGCTGCAGCTCCTGATGATCCTCCTCTACAGCCACAGCTCTCTTTGGGATCTGTGGACACCTTTCCTGTCCCTTTAGACCCAGGGAGATAACAGCTCCCACTCTTGCTGGTCCAGGACATTCCTCATCTCTTATTGGTTCCCTTAACTCGGTCCACACTTCTGTGAACAGCCCCTTTCCTCAAATACCCATTCGAATATGTCCTCTGGCTTCCACCAGGAGCCTGACTGATACCCACAGGTGGGTGAATGCTGGCGTGCTGCTGGGCCCCTCTTCCTCTGGTGACTGGCCAGCCAAGTCTCCAGGAGTCTCGTTAGGGTGGGCAGGCGGTGGGCACAGCACAAACTGTGAGCTCAAATCCACAGAACAAAAGTGGGAGAAGACACTGGCAGGATGGACCGCCACAAAACTCTTGGCATTCGTGACGTCTGTCCTTTAAATCACGCAAGGCATCATCATGCTTCAGACATGAGACAGCCTAAGTATTTAAGTGTTTCAAATAAACAAATTGTTTTTCAGAATTGGTAATTGCTAAGTTGGCAAATTGCTATTGGAAACGTTGGCTGTCCTTGACTCAATGATTCAGCCAGCTAGTCCCTTGCCAAACTAGTATGTTGGGCAAATTCCACCTTGAGAATTTATCTGCTCCTGTCAAAGCCAGATTCTCCCTGCCTGAGGGGAGGCTGGACTTGACCTTCTGACTCAGGATATGCTGACTTGGGTCCCTAGGTCCAAGGGCGGCCCTCTTGGGCCCACTGTGGGCTGGACCTCTTCCATGATGGGGTGGTGGAGGGCAGGCCCCACCTGATTCACACTTGACCTCATCCAGGCAGGTGAAGTTCCCTGCAGGAGTCACCTGAGCCCAGCCCCTCAGACCAGGATCCATCATGTTTAGGAGGATTTGGGGCTATCTCATGTTCTTTGGCTAGAAAGGGGTCCCACTCTTAGGGGTCTGCCCTCTGTGGGGCACAGATGGCTTGCTGGGGCCCATGGACGGGGCTGGGTGAATGGGAATCTGGTCACAGCAGCAGCAGCTGGAAGGCCAAGAGGGAGGGCACCAGGGCCTGGGACCCATGTCTTGTCCTGGGCCTCCCCGGGCCTCTTGCCTTCTCCCCAGCAGGCATTTGGGATCTGTGTCTGGACCCAGCCTCGCCCAGAAGGCCATGGTGTGTTGTCATTAGAATCACAGTGCTCACACCAAGGCAGTGCATTAAATTAGCAGGGCAGGGTCTCATGGGCAAGGGACCATGTGGAGGGGGTGGGGGGAAGGGCAGTTGTCCCCAGAGGCCGTGGTGGGCCTGGCTCTGGGCTGGGCAGTGGGCCAGGGTCCTGCTGTGTGGATGAGCTCTGACAACAGGCTGTCTGGGTCTGGTGAGCTCCTGAAAGCGCGGACTGGTGGAGAGTACCCTAGGGTGGGAGCTCATGAGGAGGGGGTCTGTGGGGTCTGGAAGCCATTCTAGAGCAGGCAGATGACATTTATCAGGGGAGCAGGCATAGAAAGGACCCTTGTGCGAGTGGGGGGACACACAGCCTCAGAAGAAACAGGGAAGGGGCTTTGACAGGTCCAGGGAGAATCCCTGAGGTTTCCTAGAACAATTCCCACCAGCCATGTCCCAGGTGTCCCCCCATCCCCCAGGCCTCTGCAGTGCCAGCCCAATGCCCTGGGCAAAGCATCCTGGACTCTGGCTGTTACAAAAGGAGGACAGGGTCATCTGGACCCGCCTGAGCTCCAGGCCCCCGACTTTCACAGCCCCTTCTGGGTCCAGAAGTTCATACGTATATAAATGAAAAATGTGCAAGAATCATATTATTGTATTCTTTTTCATAAAGAGGCCCCTCTAAATTGTTGAAGCCCCGATCCACCCCTGCCCAAAGGAGACAGCAATGGCATGTGTGGGGCCACAGTCTTGAGACCCAGAGGTCCTGCTGCCCACGATACCCACTGTCCACCCTAGGGGGACTGGCCGTAGCCCTGGAGCCCGCAAACACCATGCAGGAATGCAAGAAGGTCTCAGCTCCCGAGTCCCAGGCTGGGAGGGCCCACAGTCCAGTAAACTAATCAGGCCCCGACACATCCAGGAGAGCAGCTCCAGGAGCCTGCATTGGGGAGAGAGCCTCAGACCCCTGCCACAGGCCTGCACCCCAGAAGTAGGAGCATGGGAAGACCTCTCCTTGGCTCCTGGCCAGCAGAAGTCACATTCCCCAGCCCTCTGGCTCCAAGGCAGCCTCACGTCCCAGTCACTCCTTGGCACACCCTACCAGTTGGTCAGAGCTCACTGCCAAAGGGCACCTCAATGATGAGTGGAGGGAACAGGTGTTTACCAGGAGCTTGCATGCTTTGTCTCAGGGATGATTAGGGACACAGCCAAGAAGACACGCTATGCCCATTTTACAGATGAGGAAACGGAGGCTCAGGTTGGGCTGGTGACTAAGGGAAGCAGCATGTGGCAGGTGGCTTGAGGCATGTCTGTCCATCATGAGTAACTAGGGAGCAGCCCTGCCACTCCTCATGCGATGCACCAGGAGCCAGGGAAGCTGCTTCCTAGGGGATTCTAGCTAAGGCCAGAAGCATCTCCCTGAGTGGTGGTGGAGGCCTCTGTCTACTCCTCCAGGACTGCCAGGGGATAGGAGGGCACTGCTGACCTCACAGAGCCTCTTGGGTGAGTGAGCATCAGCTGAGTGACACCAGGTGACTACGCTTCTGCCCAGTGCTGTGCCCCCCTCTGACTCGGGCAAGGCACCACCCTGAACGCCCCACCCTGTCCCATGGAGGCCGCAAACTGCTCTGCAGAGCCAGGGTCTCCAGGAATGGGGAGGGCAGTCACCCTCATTCCACTTGTGTTCATGACCCAAAGGACTGCCCAGGTCTCCAGGCCCATAGAACCCCCAAACCTCTTACTAGGCCACACTGGGGACCTTGAGCAGCAGGCTTGGAATCCTAGGCCTTGTCTCCAGGTACATATCAGTACCCAGGCTTGGGAAGCTTTGGTCTCAGGGGGGCTGGCACTCAGGCCCTCTGCCTCAAGGAAGAAGCATGTCCAGATCTCTACTGTCCAGCCCTGCTCCCTGCCCCTATCCTTCACGGGGTCCCTAGGACAGGGTTACAGAAGCCTCATGCTGTCAGGGGATGCTGCCACCCTAGTTCCAGGGTGGCTCCGCCCAGCCCCTTCCTGCTGCCGCCCTCACTGACTCACCTGTCCAGCCTCCTACTGGGCTGGGGTGAGGGCTTATTGCCCCAGAGCCTAGACAGACACCAGAGGCAGCTATAAAAGCATGTTGGGCCAGTCCTCAGCATCCTAGTTCGCCACTGTCTGCTGCCACACGATGCTGGGAGGCCTGGGGAAGCTGGCTGCCGAGGGCCTGGCCCACCGCACCGAGAAGGCCACCGAGGGAGCCAGTGAGGACCCGGGGCTCCTTTCTACCTGGGCTGGGGGGATCTGGGGCAGACTGGGTCTGTGGGAGGCGGATCTACGTAGGCAGGCGAGGACCTGCGGGGAGGCCTTGGCCCCTCAGGAACCCTGGTCTCCTGCTCTACCAAGTCAGCACGGAGTTGAGGGGTGCAGACCTGGGGAGGTCTCCTGGGGGCAGGGCATGAGTCCTGGTGCTGGGTGAACACTGGCAGCTTGGACCCTTCCCTCTGGAAATCTGGGGAGCCTTTCTTGTCAAAACAGCCTATTCTGAATAACCTATGCAGGAAAAGGAAGATGGATTTTTATTTTTACCATAACTTTAAAGCTTCAAAGATTTCTTAACAAGTCACCAAGTCTGTTCAAAGTCAAAAAGGGCATTTTCAATTTCATCCAAGTCCCCTAAAGCATGTTTATTTTTATTTGTATTTGTATTTGAAATGGAGTCTTGCTCTGGCACCCAGGCTGGAGTGTAGTGGTGCGATCTCGGCTCACTGTAACCTTTGCCTCCTGGGTTCAAAGTGATTCTCATGCCTCAGCCTCCTGAGTAGCTGGGATTACAGGCACCCACCACCACGCCCGACTAATTTTTGTATTTTTAGCAGAGACGGGGTTTCGCCATTTTGGCCAGGCTGGTCTCAAACTCCTGCCCTCAAGTGATCCATTCCTCTTGGCCTCCCAAAGTGCTGGGATTACAGGCGTGAACCACTGCACCTGGTCCCGAAGTGTATGTTGTATTCAGAGGTCAGCAGGTATGTGTGGGGAGGCCCAGCCAGGCCCCACTCATGGGTCATCGTGTGAAAAAGTCTTGCCTGAGTTTGTGTCCTCTTTCTAAATGGCAGCAGATGCGTATTTTGTTTTTGACTCTGCAGCTGGTGTGGACCACCTGCTTTAACCTTTCACTAGCCTCTGAGTTTTCTATGATTCCTGTTGGGAGAAAAGCTGAGTGTTGGGAGAAAAGCTGAGGCAGGGCTTGCTAGACTTGCTGGCTCCTTGCTTCTAGCACTGCCATTCTCTCAAGTAGCCATATGTTTCTCATTCACTTGATACACTGTTGCCTTTCAACCTCCACATCCTCACCACCTGTTTCTTTGTTAGATCACCAATAAATAGCGTGGGCTCCCAGAACTCGGGGCCTTCGCAGCCTCCACACTCGCGATAGCGCCCTGCTCCCATTTTCTCTCTCGAACTGTCTCTTTCTCATTCCTTTGACTCCGCTGGACTTGCCGCCCCCGTGACCTGGTGTTGGGTCTCATCATCCCAACAGATTCCCATTCTAAAGATGAGGGAACCAAGAGGTGGAAGGTAGAGTTAGAATAAGAACCATTTCTTCTGACTCTGAAATCCTTCAGTTCTAGCACACTACCACCCACACTTTAAAAAACTCTGAAGTAGGCAGAGAATTCCGTTTTGTTGGAGGAATTGCTTTGAGAGACCTGGTCTTAGTGGATGAGGCTTTGGAAACCAACCTGAGGCAGGCGCTAGCACATCCTGAGAGGGGTGTGACCTGGCACACAGGCCCAGCCTGGGTTTCATGTCTCAGCTGGCAAGACTGCCTGCTCATTGCCATTCCAGGCCGGGCAGGGCCAAGGGGCTTCAGGGACCCATGCCCTCATGGGGCTCACTGAGCTCGTCTCCCGGTAGCCAAGGCCCTGGCGTCTCCAAATGAAGCCAGCTGTGGGGGAAGGTCCTTCTCATGAGCCAGTCTGTCCTGGCTGGGGGTGGCATCCCAGAGCCCCATCTAGGATGCCCAGGGATGTATAGGTCTGTTGTGAGGATAAGCCAGCCCTGAGCCCTCACCCTGGACTGGGAGGGCAGTGGGCCTGCTCTGAGCCCTCACCCTGGACTGGGAGGGCAGCGGCTCTGCTCTGAACCCTCACCCTGGACTCAGGGGCAGCCGGCCTGCTCTGAGCCCTCACCCTGGACTTGTCTCCTCTGTTCAGTTCATGCCGTGGAGGAAGTGGTGAAGGAGGTGGTGGGACATGCCAAGGAGACTGGAGAGAAAGGTACAGCCGGCTGAGGTCGGGCAGGGAAGGAGGGAGGGAGGAAGGGAAGCTAGGTGCTGGGCCAACCTGTTCTTTGACTAACCAGGTCAAACTCTGCCCCTAATGTTGCAGCCTTTCAGAGCCTCTTGGCTGGGGCAGTTATCTATGCTCATCAGAGGCCACAGACCGTACTGCGTTAGGACACTGTCTAGATGGTTCTCTCTGTGGAATAAGAAGACAAAGTCACACAAGACTATGTGACAGCACACTGGGACAAAACATTTAACATGGCAGGGCACGGTGGCTCATGCCTGTAATCCCAGCACTTTGGGAGGCTGAGGAGGGCGGATCACGAGGTCAGGAGATCGAGACCATCCTGGCTAACACGGTGAAACCCCGTCTCTACTAAAAATACATAAAAATTAGCCGGGCATGGTGGTGGGTGCCTATAGTCCCAGCTACTTGGGAGGCTGAGGCAGGAGAATGGTGTGTACCTGGGAGGCAGAGCTTGCAGTGAGCCTAGATCATGCCACTGCACTCCAGCCTGGGCTACAGAGCGAAACTCGGTCTCAAAAAAATTGCTGGGGGCGGTGGCTCACGCCTGTAATCCCAGCACTTTGGGAGGCTGAGGTGGGCGGATCATGAGGTCAGGAGATCCAGACCACGGTGAAACCCCATCTCTACTAAAAATACAAAAAATTAGCTGGGCACGGTGGCGGGCACCTGTAGTCCTAGCTACTCGGGAGGCTGAGGCAGGAGAATGGCGTGAACCTGGAAGGTGGAGCTTGCAGTGAGCCGAGATCGCGCCACTGCACTCCAGCCTGGGCGACACTGTGATACTCTGTCTCAAAAAAAAAAAAAAAAAAAAAAAAAAAAATTAACATGTAAAATTCTATGTTAAATGTTAAATTGATGTGTGTGAGCTATGAGTAGTACTATGTACAAAGCATGTGTATATCTCATTCCTTTTCAACAAAATAGATTCCAGGTAGATGAAGGACTTACATTTACATAAATGAATTTATTAACTTACTAGGAGATAACCATCTTAGCTCAGGCTGCTATTATAAAATACCATAGGCCAGGTGCAGTGGCTCACGCCTGTAATCCTAGCCCTTCGGGAAGCCAAGGCGGGTGGGCCACCTGAGGTCAGGAGTTCGAGACCAGCCTGACCAATATGGTAAAACCCCATTGCTACTAAAAATACAAAGACCAGCTGGGCATGGTGGCACATGCCTGTAATCCCAGCTACTCAGGAGTCTGAGGCAGGAGACTCCCTTGAACCTGGGAGGCGGAGGTTGCAGTGAGCTGAGATTGCACCACTGCACTCCAGCCTGGGTGACAGAGCAAGACTCTGTCTCAAAAACAAAAACAAACCATAAACTGGGTGACTTAGAAACAACAGAAATTTATTTCTCACACTCCTGGAGGATGGGAAGTCCAAGATCAAGGAAGGCACTGGCACATTTGGCATCTGGTGAGGGAGTCTTTCTGGTTCATGGATGGGCCCAGCTCTGTCCTCACATGGTGGAAGGAGCTAGCTCTCTGTGGTCTCTTTTATGTGGGTGCTAATTTCAACCTCCCAAAGGCCCCACCCCTTAATATCATTACATTAAGACTGAGGATTTCAGCATATGAGTTTTGAGGGGGAAGACATCATAAACATTTAGACATAGTAATAACTTCAGAGACTTTGGCCTAATCTTGGAGAGGGGAGAATCTTCAGAACTATGACAAAAAAATCAGCGCCATAAAGGAAATATTAAGTAAATTTGACAATCCAAAACTGAAATTTTCTATAGCCAAAAAAAAAAAAACACTATAACCAAGCCAAAAGAAAAATTATACACTGATGAAAAATATTTGTCATAAAAATGATAATCCAATATAACAACCCAATATAAAAATGGTCAAAAGACATAAGCAGGCATTTTCCAGAAAAAAGGATAAGCAGGCAATGTACCCATGAGTAGATGCTCAGTCTCACTCACAGTTGAAGAAATGCAAGTTGTTGGGGAAATTAAAACCAAATTCAAATTCATTCTGCAGTAATCCTGCTGCCCTTGGTCCCATCGGGCCACTCCAGAGACTAATCCATTAAGATGGCCACATCCCACAGGCCACTCAAGGGGACACAAGTTCAGCAGGTGGATCACTAGGACATTCTTCCTCTTTCTTTCCAACAGCCATTGCTGAAGCCATAAAGAAAGCCCAGGAGTCAGGGGACAAAAAGATGAAGGAAATCACCGAGACAGTGACCAACACAGTCACAAATGCCATCACCCATGCAGCAGAAAGTCTGGACAAACTTGGACAGTGAGTGCACCTGCTACCACGGCCCTTCCCCAGTCTCAATAAAAAGCCATGACATGTGTACATTGAGCGCTGGATTTATTCCCATTTGGATGGAAACACTAGGCAAAGTATTTTCTTGTTGACATAACATATTTTACATATTTATGGAGTACATTTAAGTATTTATTACATGCACAGAATAGTGATCAATCAGGGTGTTTGGGGTGTCTATCACCTTGAATATTTGGTATTACTATGTGTTGGGTACATTTCAAGTCCCTTCTTCTAGCTACTTTGTTTGTTTGTTTTTGTTTTTGTTTTTGTTTTGAGACAGAGTCTTGCTCTGTCACCCAGGCTGGAGGGCAATGGTGTGATCTCGGCTCACTGCAACCTCTGCCTCCCAGGTTCAAGCAATTCTCCTGCCTCAGCCTCCCAAGTAGCTTGGACTACAAGCGCAGGCCACCATATCCGGCTAATTTTTATTATTATTTTTTTTATTGTTTTTATTTTTAGTAGAGATGGGGTTTCACCATGTTAGCCAGGCTGGTCTCGAACTCCTGACCTCAGGTGATCTGCCTGCCTGGGCCTCCCAAAATGCTGGGATTATAGGCATGGGATACTGTACCTAGCCTTCTAGCTACTTTGAAATATACAATACATTGCTGCTAACTATAGTCACCCTAGGTGAAGTATTTTTCAACAGAAACACTTTGCATGTCCCCCGTGTCTCCTCTGCTGAGGTGGACACTGGCACTGGGGCCCCTGCTGCTGGTTGGATAGGTCCTCATGATGAATCAGATACTTCTCTGTCATGCTAAGTAAGATCTTTCATGTCAGGAAGGGGCTCTTCTGGAAGAATAGTTAGTGTCTGTGCTACATTTCCTAAAAAACTGTTTCCCCAGAAACTATATACAACTTTCAGGTGCCTCAGTGCTTCAAGACATGCTAAGGGAGGACCCTCATTTGTCTTGCATGTTTTTGGGATTTTTCTTGAGATGTTCTTGCAGGACTCAGGGCAGATAACAGACCAGCTTGATGAAGAATTTAGCAAGGAAGGCCCCCACTGAGCTGCTTCCTGTTCTCGCAGAGATCAGATAAGCATTTCTGCTGGATGGTTACAGAATCTGGTCAAGGAGAGACTGAGTCACTGCTCATCATCCTAGAAGCTGCTGTTGATTTTTTTTTTTTTAAAGACGGAGTTTCACTCTGTTGCCCAGGCAGGAGTGCAGTAGCATGTTCTTGGCTCACTGTAACCTCTGCCTCCTGGGTTCAAACAATTCTCCTGCCTCAACCTCCCCAGTAGCTGGGACTACAGGTGCCCGCCACCACTCCTGGCTAATTTTTTGTATTTTTAGTAGAGATGGGGTTTCACCATGTTAGCCAAGATGGTCTCGATCTCCTGACCTCATGATCCACCTGTCTTGGCCTCCCAAAGTGCTGGGATTACAGGCGTGAGCCACCGCACCTGGCCCAGAATATTTATTTAGAGACTGATGTCAGGCCTAAGTGTTGATAGTGGGTAGTAGTGGGCAAGATGCCTGACCCTCTCTCTTTCTTCTCATGAGAGAGGGTGGAATGCCTTCCACCAAAGAAACGAGACCTCCCCATGACCAGCTGCTTCACTAACCAGACATCCTCCAGTGATGCCTCTGAATGGTCCCGAGGGGTTGTGGTGGCCGGGCAGAGCCAGGCAGGAGCCAGAGTCAGCCTGGGGGGTGATGGAGCTGAGGCCATCACCGGTCTGACAGTGGACCAGTATGGCATGCTGTATAAGGTGGCTGTGCCGCCTGCCACCTTCTCACCAACTGGCCTCCCATCTGTGGTGAATATGAGCCCCTTGCCCCCGGAAAAAAAAATAATATTGCATATGCAGTTGATTAAATGGCATATCATAGAGGTTAAAAGTCAGTATCATAGAGGTTAAACATATCTTTAAGTAGCATTTAACTTAACATTTTTTTAATTAAAAAAAAGAGAAGTAATTTGTAAAAATATTGCATCCCCTATTTCTCTTGCTGGAAGCTATTTGTTCCTAGCAGAAATGAGAAGAAAAGGTGTTTTGCTTAAAAATAAGTGAGTTGCTCACCGTACTTCTGGATCTCATCTAGAATTGGACTCACAGTTTGTGAACAGCCCAGGTATAGCCAATGTCTTAGCTTTGGAACGCTTGCCACTTTCCAGCTACAGCTGAACCTTATATCCTGGTTTGGTTCCTGATGACTTTCAAATTCTCCTGACCCAAACGCAAGCTCAGAAGCACAAGCACATTGTTGGTGGCAGTACAGACTGAAACACCCTCTTTGGATGGCAGTTCCTCTCACAGGACTTTATTCTCCAGGTATGCACAGGCACACACAGGTGCCCAAAGGATAAACACACAGATCTATTGTAGCATATTTGTATTACTGAAAGATTAGAAACATCCTAAAATGTTAACTAAATCGCTTGGATGAAAAGTTTTGCTCTGCTTATTAGGTTTGGCGTACAATATGGAGGTGACATCTGTTACTTCCAGTGTATTATAGATACTTTAGCTCCAAAAATGATACCTGTACCTAGATGGGCACCAAAAGGGAATGGTTAACAAATATTGCACATACAGGGGTATGGGGCGGCTCCGGGGCTGGGGATGGCGGCGGCCAGGTTTGTAGCGGCTCCAGGATGAGCGGGTGGATCCCTGGAAGCGTGGTGAAATGGGCTGGCTCCCGAGCCAGCCGGGAGGACGCTTACTACAGCTGCTCAGAAGCACCACTGGAAGCTCAGATGTAGGTGCCCCAGCCAGAAGCAGAGAGGGGTTCAGAGAAGCTACAGAGAAGCCCCTCCTGATGCCCCAGGGAGCAAGCCAACTCCTTCCAGGCTCCAGGAACACCACAAAGCAATATGAAACCTGTTCATGAGAGGAACCAGGAATGCCTTCCACCAAAGAAACGAGACCTCCCCATGACCAGCTGCTCCACTAACCACACATCCTCCAGTGATGCCTCTGAATGGTCCCGAGGGGTTGTGGTGGCCGGGCAGAGCCAGGCAGGAGCCAGAGTCAGCCTGGGGGGTGATGGAGCTGAGGCCATCACCGGTCTGACAGTGGACCAGCATGGCATGCTGTATAAGGTGGCTGTGCCGCCTGCCACCTTCTCACCAACTGGCCTCCCATCTGTGGTGAATATGAGCCCCTTGCCCCCGGAAAAAAAAATAATATTGCATATGCAGTTGATTAAATGGCATACTCCACGGCTATTAGGAATGATGAAAATGGGCTGGGTGCGGTGGCTCATGCCTGTAATCCCAGCACTTTGGTAGGCCAAGGTGGGCAGATCACCTGAGGTCGGGAGTTTGAGACCAGCCTAATCAACATGGAGCTGTGTTTACTGAGTGGGGCTTTCGCAGGCTGGAGCTAAGAATTTCCAGTATGCGTAACAGCCACAGCCCAAATACCTGCCAGAGAGTTGTGTAATTCCCCAGAGCAGGCCTGGGCAGTGTCTGGGTGGGGCCTGGGAGCCACAGGAGACGCCCAAAGCCAGGCAGAGCCCGGGGGCGAGGGGGCGGCAGGCAGGTGTAGCGCTGCCCTGGGCGGGCTTGCACCCCCACACCCAAGTGAGCGGCCTGCTCACTCCTCAGCTGCAGGAGCCAGACATGTGGAGTCCCAGCAGAGGCCAACCTGTGTCTCTTCATCTCCGTGAGAAAGGTGCCCCCGAAGTGAAAGAGATGGCCTGGTGGAAAGCCTGGGTAAGTGGGAGCTGGCAGGAGATTTGGGTTCCTGCATGGTGTTGGGTGCTGGTCACCAGGGAGTCCTGAGAAATGTAAAGTCGCCCTTGGCTGGGAGTGGCTCAGTCTACATTTGGCTGCCTCCTGGGCCAAGCATGGAGGGTGGGAAGGGGCCGAGAAGAAACAGCCCCAGGCCTAGAGTGCCCACGGCAGGGATGGGACCTGGGCCGGGAGACAGGCTGATGAAGAAATCTAGAAATGCAAGGGGGAAGCTGAGGTTTGAGAAAAGTCCAGGGGAGGGACCCTTGCAGGGGTGGGGCCACTCAAAGGAGGGGGTATCATGGTTGAGCCTTGTGTGTAAATGTGTATGGGGTGCACACACGTGTGCATTTGGGGAGAATCAGGCATACTGCTCCTGGCAGAGGGAACTGTGTGCAGAGGGTCAGAGGGCGGGGAGCTTGGCTTTGAGGGAAGCTGCTCAGCACAGCTCAAGGGTCCTGGTACCGGAGGAGATGGACCTGGGGAAGCAGGCAGGGCCAGGTCCTGAAAGGCCTTGCCTGGCAGGCTGAGGAGTTAGGCTTTACCTTAAGAGAAGTGGGAAGGCACTGAAGGGCTTTGAGCATGAGAGTAACCTGAACCTGCTGTTGGGGACCCATCAATGCCTTCACCTCAGGGATCAATGATGTTCATTTGTCAAGACTGGAGAGGGAAGAGGGGAAGCAGGAGGACCTGGCCTGCTAGAGCCTGGAGGAACCCGGGGCTCAGGGCAGCCCATGCCCAGCAGAACTGATGGGTTCTCGGGAGCTTTCTGTCTATGGTTGAGCCTGAGGCCATCGCTGTGCTAAGGAGTTGAATATCCAGAAGGGGACAGAGGTGACATCTCCCGGCTGCCGGCTCTGCACACCCTTTTCCTTTCCTCCCAGGCAGCCTCAGGATGTCAGGGCTGCACTTTCTGTTTTGCAGATGATGAAATGAAGGCTCAGAGACACTGAGTGACTTGCTAGGGTCCAATGGCCAGCAGGCTCCAGTCAGAGAGCAGTTGGGTCTCTCTGCCCAGCCCCAGGTTCTCTGTGAGCTTTTGTGGGATACCCAGGCTTGTCCAGCTTCAGGGAGTCTCTGGATCATAGATGTCGCAACCCAAGCAAGTGTCCTCAGGGTCAGACATGCTAGGTTCTGGACAGGTGGGACAAAGAGGAAGCCAGGCTGAGGTGGGGCAGCTGTCCTGGCCCCCAGGGAAGCAGACTTCTTCCAGGACAAGGGGCCATGGAGGCCTGCAGCTTCAACCAGACTGCTGGGAACCTGCCTTTGAGGAGGTGGACATGGCAGGGAGAGCCCAGTGCTGGGTGGTTTCCAAAGTCAGTTGCTGGCCAAGGTAGTCTGGCACTGGGCCTTGCACCCAGTGCAGCAGGACAAAGGGCTGTCCATGTAGGGACCTGCCAAATTGACAGGATCACTGTGACACTCACTGAGTCCCTACTCTGTGGCCGGACCCTTCTCTAAGCACCTCACATTCAATATCTCCCTTGAACCTCACAAGGAGTCTATGAAGTAGACACCAGTATCCTTATCCACAGATGAGGAAACTGAGGCACAAGTAGGCTAGGCAGGTGCCCGAACTCACTAGTAAGTGTGAGAGTCTAGGTGAGAATCTGAACAGCCTGACTCCAGGGCCAAAACCATACCCTGGTCGTCCATACCCCATGTGAGAGCTGGCTCGGGGTAGCAAGTTCACAGGTAGACCCCACCTGCAACAGCTGAGCTGCTAGCGAAGACCCAGTGTCCTCTAGGCACAAAGCTGGGCCAGGAACGGGATGGGAGGAGATGAGGGAGCCACTGGAGAGAGATCTGTCTGCAGGCAGGGCCCATCTGCACCTCTCTTTTTGGTGTTGCCTTTTCCTCTGTGTCTCTCATAGAGACAAACCCATCTCCCAGGCCTCTGGGCAGCCACATAGCAGGGGAAGGCCAAGGCGTGGCAGCTCCCCTGTGCCTGTCACAGAACAAGTTATATTAATAGATGTAGTCACAGGCTGGTCTGAGTCACCTTTTCAGTGAAAATGTGCCTGTCTGGACTAGCACGGCCCTGGGCAAGACCCTGCAGGAGCCTGAGGCTGACCCTTCCTTCTCAGCAGGAGGTCTGGAGCTCCAGGACTCCACACTGATAGCCAGGGCTCCGATTCCCAGAACACTTATTTTCTAAAACCTTAGAGTGGGAAGTGAGACAGAGGCTTCTCAATGCAGCAAAATCAGAACCAGCCCGGGAGCTGCTTACAAATGCTGCACCTGAGACCTACCGCACCCCTGCGGGACTGCATGCTCCTCAGGGATGCGGTTACACAGCCTGGGCACTCGCTGGTGCACCACAGCCCCCGAGTGCTGGGGCAGAGGGAAGCCGGCAGGCACTGAGAGCTGAGATGCCTCCCACATTCCCAGACGACCTGCGTTCCTGTGGGTGAAGCTTCCTTCAGTGGAACGTTCCAGGAACACTCATTGCCTGGGAAAGGTGGAGTCATCAGTAGGGCAGGGGAGGTAGATAGAGCTCAGCTTCTGAGTCAGGCTGGGGAGTCCCAACAGCATCGCTTACTAGCTGTGTAAGGGAGTCCAGATCCCTTTCTGTAAAGTGAGGCATCAGTACTTACCTAGCACAACTGTTGAGGAAGCCATGACATAAGCATTGCTTCTAAAGCACCTGGCCCAGGTCTGGCACACACAAGGGGCTTGAAGTGCTAACAGGAGTAATAGCAGAGCGTGACTCCACAAGCAAGGGATATCGTGTGTGTGGACACCGATGAGCACAACTTTATTTGTTTTTAAACATTCAGGGCCTAGTAGATAGCAGGCTTTCAACAAATATTTTTGAATAACAACAAACAAGAGTATGGACTTTGGGAACAGGAGAGCCTAGTAGCCAGCGAGCCTGAGCCAATCCTTGATGGCCTCCAATTCTGAGAAGACTCTCTGGGCCCCCTTAGGCTCCCTGTGGAAGAAAGCTTCCCCAGTCAATCCTAATAAAAATACTTCTGAGACAGATCTAACAGGACAAAGTGGAGTCTCTCCACTCTTTCAGTAGCTCCTTCACCCCAGGTGCTGTTTGGGGTTCTGACACTGCCATGGCATGGCCAGCAGGATGGCCCCTAGGGCTCCTGGGGCTGCTCTATAAGAGCTTCCCACCCCTGACCTGCAGTCCATGAGGGCAAGGCCAGATCCGGGCACATGCCCATCTGTGTTGTTCTCATGCTCTCAGGGGGTAGAGCTAGTGTGTTGGACTTGGCATGTTTAGGGTCACCTCCCTGAGGGTTGACAACCTGAGCAAAATCAGCATTCCCTTGGCAAGGAATAAAGGGGGAATGGATTTGTGGTCAGCAACCCACATCGTTGGTCAGCAACCCACCGCCAAGCATTCTGCCTGCAACAGGGTGGGGCTGGCCAGGGGAGGCTCCTCAGGGAAGGTGAAAGCTGTGCAGAGTTTTGCAGGATGACTCAGTGCTTATCAGGTAGACAGATAAGGAAGAACATTCCAGGGAGAGGGAGGAATGCTAACAACAGCAGGGGATCTGGTCTGTACTAGACATGCCAAAGGAATGGTGTGTCCATATCAACAGAGGAGGGAGAGACAGAAGAGAAAGAGCTTGTCAGGGCCTGAGTCAGAGCGGGCTCATGCTGTGGGGCTAAGAAGCTCAAACGATTTCCAGAGACAGTGGGGAAGCTTTACAGGGACAGGCAGGGGAGGATCTTAACCCGGCTTTCGTAAGCCTCTGGCTTGAGTATGGAAGGTGAGTCTGGGACAGGGAGCCCAGCGCCGAAGTGTTGCAACAGTATAGGGAGACATACAGACCAATTCCCTCCCACCTAACAGCTCTGTGCTTTGGGGTCCTGGGTTAGTTTCCTGGGAGAAGGCTGGCCTTGGCTACCTCTGTCCTTGACCAAGGACATCGTTTTAAATATTTGTGATGTGTCCTAGGCCACTGCATCTCTGTCCCTGTAGCGAAGAGAAGATACTGATTCCTAAGCTCCTACTCTGAGAACACAAATATCTGCAATACCTCGGTAAGCCCTAGGCCTGAGTGTGAGGTTGCAGGCACTTCCATGGCCCCATGCAGGTGTCCAAGTTCCCTCGTGGTATTTGGCCAAGGGGGGCCCTGTGTGATGCCCTAGCGCGGTGACTACCCGTGTTCCTGGCCCATGGGCATCTTCCACGGAATTCTGGGCTTAGCCTGGGGATTCATGCGGGCGCATCTCTGTGATCTGCTCTGGAGCAGGATGTACATCAGGTCTCTCAGACCTGAGTCCCTGGTGCCTGGCGCTCAGCCTTGACTGAAGTGCTCGGCCCACCCTGCTGGGCCAGCCAGCTCCTGCTCAGGGCCACAGCCCTGTAACCACGGCTTCCTCCCCAGGACTCAGGAATTCTCCCACTCCGGAATGCCTTGCTGCTGGGGTGACCAGGTCTTCACTTGTGAAACAGGAGTCGGCCACCTCAGCCCTGCGCCTGGCCTGGTGGAACATGGGTCACCGCCCCAACCTGGGGCAGCCGCCCCATCCCAACGCAGTTGCTGCCGCTCTCCATGCCTCCCTGTGCCCAGCTAACCGGGGGACTTGTCCCCTGGGAAAACCTGGGTACCCAGGCTGCCTTTGGTTTCAGCCCCTACTCCTCTTCCCGGGCTGCCTGTGCTCCCCGGACGGCCCCTTTCCCCGGGCTGTGTTCACATCAGCTGGGAAGGGTCCCTTGCAGACAGATCTTGGACGAGGTCGCGTCCCCCCTCGTGACCAGCAAACTCCTAAAAGCGGCCCTTGCCCCAGAGCCCCTGTAGCCTCCAACCGGCAGTCAGGAGGCAGCGCCGTCTCAGCGCCGCTTAGTGGCGCCAGGCGTGCCTGGAAATCCGCTTTCGCAGCGCCCCCTCGTAGCCGCCTCCGCCCGCAGAAAGGCGTTCCCTGGACAGAGAAGCGGGCGCGCGGGGGCGGGCGCGCGGGGCCTTGCCGGAGAACCTGACTCTCCGCAGCAGCAGTGGAAGCCGGAGTGACGCGTTGTGTTGAACACCAGTTTTCTGGAGCGCTGTGTGTTCTCAACAGCTGAGCAGTCTGTTTCTCCAATCAGGTTTCAAAGCCACTTCAACTGCACTGGCCCCTGTGGGTCACTGCTGCACCGCCCTGGCCCATGTGGGTCCCTGAGGAGCGACCTGCCGGGGCCACCTGGCTGGACGAAAAAGACACACCTTGGACTTAAGCCGTGAGAAAAAAACTTCATCAGTAAGAAACAAGTCAATAGACAAGTAAAAGACTAGGAGAAAATATGCATAAAACATAAAAAAGTGACTTGATTCCTGATTCTGGAGTATTTAAGAATTCCTATAACTCAACAAAAAGTTCAGTTTTTTAAAATGAGCAAAAGGCTTGGGTAAACTATTCACAAAGGAACGTAGACAAATGCCAGTACACACATGAGAAGCGCATACACATCCACAAACTTCAAACAAGCCCACCTCATGTATTTCTAGTGAGTAAGGAAAAGAACGCAAACACTTTTGAAAATTGTTTGGTTGTTTCTTGTAAATTTAAACAAATACCCTATTATATTATCCAGCGAGTCCATCCTTAGGTTTTTATCCAAGGATAAAGAGGTGAAAACTCATATCTAACAAATAGACTTCTGAAAAGATGAAAATAGAAGCTTTATTCATAAAAGACAAAAACTGGAAATAACCCAAATATTCATTCACAGGAGAATGAATAAACAGACTAGGTTGAATCCATACAATGGAATGGTAGCAGACAATAAAAAGAAAATGAACTATTGATGCCCCCTACTGCACAGCAGAAGCTCTGAATCGTGTTCCTGAATGAAAGAAGTCAGGTATGAAAGAATAAACATTGTATGATTCCATTTATATGAAAATGAATCTGTGATTTAAAAATCAGACTAGTATTAGGTTGGTGCGAAAGTAATTGCGTTTTTTGCCTTTTTTTTTTTTTAATAGTTGCTTTGGGGTTTATGGATGGAGTGGCATGGTAGAGGTTAGCTGAAGGGGGCATGAAATAACTTTTTGGGGGTGCTAGAGTGTTGTAAATCTTACAGTGGGGGAGGGACAGGAGTGCAGGCATTTGACAAAACACATTGAATTGTGAAATTTAAGATTTTTGAATTTCTTTGTATGTAAATTACCTGCCAATAAAAACATGACGAATAGAGCAGTTATGAGTATTTGTGTGTAGCTTTTTGTGCAAACTTAAATTATAATTTCTCTGATAAAAGCCCAGGAATGTGATTGTTGAGTAATATGGTAAGTGCATGTTTTTTGAGAAACTGTCAATCTATTTTTGGGAGTGGCTGTGTGTATCATGTTATATTCTCACAAGCAAGGGATGAGAAATTTGGTTTCTCTGCATCCTTGCTAGCATTTGGTTTTATCATTATATTTTTATTTCAACTGCTCAAATAAGTGTGCAGTGATTTCTCATGATCTCAATTTGCATTTCCCCAAAGGCTAATGATGTTAAGTATATTTCCACATGCTGATTTGACTCGGCCATGAAATGTCTCTTCATGTCTATTGCCCAATTTCTTATCAGATTTTTTTTTTTTACTGTTGAGTTTTGAGAGCTCTTTATGCATTGTAAATGTGAGTCCTTTGTCAGATACGCAGTTTGCAAATATTTTCTCCCCTCCATAGCTTGTCCTTTCATCATCTTAACAGAATATTTTGCAGAGGCAAAGTTTTTAATTTTGATGAAGTCCAATTTATCAATTCTTTCTTTAATGAATCGTACTTGGGTGCCATGCCTATGAACTCATCCTCAACTCCTAGGTCCAGATGATTTTCTCCTGTGTCTTCCTATCATAGCCAGAAACTAGAAAAGAACCAAAATGTCCCTCACTAAGTGAATGCTTAAACTAAGTGACACATCTATGCCAATATTCAGCAATAAAAAGAAACAAATTATTCATGCAAATAACTAAATGGATGGATCTCAAGAGCATTAGGCTAAGTGAAAAAAACCAATCTCAAAAAGTCACATACTGTACGATTTCACTTGTATAACATTCTTCCAGGGGCAAAATTATAAACAGTGAAAACAGATTAGTGGTTGGCAGGCGTTAGAGGCGGTGGTGGGGAAGTGTGACTACAAAGAGGTAGCAGGAGAGATCTTGGGATGATGGGATAGTTTTGTGTCTTGGTGGTTACAGGAATCTACACATGTGATACAATGTAATAGAAGAACACACATTGTGCTAATGTCAGTTTCTTTGTTTTGATATTGTTTTGTAGAATGTAAAACGTAAACAGTGGAGAAACTGGGTGAAGGATATTGGGACCCCTTCACAAATTCTTGTCAATCTATGATTATTTGAAAATTTAAAAGTCTAAACATGCATAAAATAAAAACCTAAAAGGCAAAAAAGTAATGCACGCACTTGATAAAAATCAAGTAGTACAAAAGAGTAAATGGTGAAAATAAATCTCTGCACCACTCTAGAGACCCCAGCCAAAGTCCTCTCCAAACTCTCTCACAGTTATTAAGTTTCTTGTATATGCTTCTAGAAATTCATCTTGCATATGCTTCTAGAAAATCAAGTAGTACAAAAGAGTAAGTGGTGAAAATAAATCTCTGCACCACTCCAGAACCCCCAGCCAAAGTCCTCTCCAAACTCTCTCACGATTGTTAAGTTTCCTGTATATGCTTCTAGAAATTCTCTAGGAATACGCAAAAATATATGTACTTTCCCTACTTCTCTAGCTTTTGTCTAATGCTAGTCTTCTTTCTATTTTTAATTATATGTATTTAATATATCTTTAGGAAAAATTAATACTTTTTAACAGCAGTGTAAGATTTCATTGTGAATGTACCATAATTTATTTAACCAATCTCTACTCATTTAATCTGTTTTTGGTTGTTTAGGCTGGTTTCGGTAGCTTGTTATTGGAAGTTATTGCAATAAACATTCTTATATTACTTTGTATCATCATAGGATAGACTCCTAAAATATTGTGTTTAGATCAAAGGGCATGTGGAATTGTACTTAAGATAGATTTTGTCAAGAAGTCCCCATTCTCATCAGTACAGAAGGAAAATACCAATTTCCTAAACCTCTTACTAAGACAGTACATCTTCAAAATTTGATCCTCACTCATCTGGTGGACAAAGTATAGTAATTCAGTGTTTTAGTTTGACTTCCCATGATGACAAGTGAAGCTTTAAACATGATGCTTTTTATATATTTAAAGGCCTTTTGTGTCATTTTCCTGTGAACTGTTGGCTCAGGTCCGTCCTTCAGTGGAGTTTAGTGAATCTGCCTCATTTCCCTAATCAATTCTGTCTCTTACCACTGGAAAGGAATACCACAGTTGTTTACCCATTCGTTGACGGACATTTGGATTGTTTCTACTTTTCGGGTGTTATGAATAATGCTGCTTTGAAAACACTTGTGCAAGATATTGTGTGGATATAGGTTTTCAGTTCTCTTGGGTATGTATCTAGGAGTGGAATTCCTTGGTCATATGATAATACTACACCCAACTTTTTGAGGAACTACCAAACTGTTTTCCAAAGTGACAGCACCATCTTATGTTCACACCAGCAATGAATGGGGTTTTCAATTTCTCTGCATCTTCACCAACACTTCTTATTGCCTGTCTTTTTCTATGAAAGCCATCCTAATGGGTGTGTAGTTGTATCTTATTGCGGTTCTATTTGCGCTTTCCTAATGACTAATAATGTCAAGCATCTTTTCAGGTGCTTTTTGATCATGAGTATATCTTCTTTGGACAAATATTTATTCAAATCATTTGCCCATGTTTTAATTAGGTTATTGTCTTTTATTGCTGAATTGTTAGAGTTCTTCATATATTCTGGATACAAGTGGCTTATCAAATTTTATATATATATATATATATATATATATATATATGATTTGCAAATACTTCTTCCCATTCTGTGGGTTGCTTTTTGACTTTCTTGATGGTGTCCTTTGAAGCACAAAAGCTGTCAATTTTGATAATGCCCCGCTTATTTTTTTTTGTTTGGTCACTTCTGCTTTTGGTATTATATCTAATAATCCTTTTACCAATCCAAGGTCATGAACATTTGCCTCTATGGTTTTATAGTTTTAGCTCTTACATTTAGAACTTTGGTCCATTTTGAGTTAAGTTTTGTACATGATGTAAGGTAAGTGTCCAGCTTCATTCCTTCACATGTGGAAATCCGGTTGTCCCAGCATCATTTGTTAAGGCTTTTTTTTAATCCTCTTGAATTGTCTTGACACCTTTGTCAAAAATCAGTTAACCATAAATGTGAAGGTTTAATATTGGATTTTCAATTCTATTACATTTCTAGTATTGGGCTATCTTGATTCCTAGACGTTGGTAGTAAGTTTGGTTTTCTTTGGGGTTTGGGGGGGTTGTTTTGTTTCATTTTGTTTTTGAGATAGGGTCTTGTTCTGTTGCCCAGGCTGGAGTGCAGTGCCTTGATCATAGGTCACTGCATCATAGACCTCTTGGGCTCAAGTGATCCTCCCACCTCGGCCTCCCAAGTTGCTGGGACTACAGGCACACACCACCACACCCAGCTAATCTTTTTTTATTTTTTGTAGAGATGGGGTCTCATTATGTTGCCCAGGTTAATCTCAAACTCTGGGCTCAAGCAATCCTCCCAACTTAGCCTCCCAAAGTGCTGGCATTACAGGTGTGAGCCACTGCACCCAACCTGTATTAAGTTTTTAAATCAGGAAGTGTAGTCCTCTCTCTTTCAAGATCATGTTGGCTATTCTGGGTCTCTTGCATCTGCATGTGAACTTCTGAGAAAAAGGCACACAATCTTTCAATCAAGATTGCATTGAATCTGTAGACCAATTTGGGAAACATTGACATCTTAACAATATTAAGTCTTCCAAATCCATGAACATAGGATGTTTTTTCATTTATTTAGGTCTTCTTTAATTTCCTTCAGTGGTGTTTTATTGTTTTCAGTACGTACAAGTCTTAGACTTATTTGTTGAATTTATTCATAAGCCTTTTATTTTGTCTGATGCCATTGTAAATGGAATTCTGTTCTTAATCTTATATTCAGATTATTCATTGCTAGTGTGTAGAAATACAATTGTTTTTCATATTGTTCTTGTATCTGCAATCTTGCTGAACTCATTTATTAGTCGTAATAGTTATTTTGTGAATTCCTTAGATTATGTCATCTGTAAATATAGTTTACATCTTTCTTTTCAATTTGGATGCTATTTTTTAAATTTACATACTTATTTGCATAATTGCCCTAGCTCAGATCTCTAATACAATGTTGAATAGAAGTGGTGAGCATGGACTTCCTTTCCTTCTTACTGGTCTTAGAAGGAAAGTATCCACTCTTTCACCCTTTGGGATGATGTCAGTTGTGGTTTTTCATAGATGTTCTTTATTAGATTTCATAAATTCTCCTCTATTTCTAGTTTTATGAGTGTTTTATCATGAAAGGATATTGATTTTGTCAAATGTTTTTTCTGCATCTATTGAGATTAGGTGGATTTTGTCCTTCATTTTATTAATGTGGTGTATTAATTAGATTTATTTTATTATGTTAAACCAACTTTGCATTCCTGAAATAAATGTCACTTGATTGTGATACATAATCATTTTTATATGTTTCTGGGTTTAGTGTGCTAGTATTTTGTTGATAATTTTTGTATTAATATTCATGAAAGATATTGCTGTGTTCTCTTAGAATGTCTTTTGTTTTGGTATCATGAGAATAATGACATCATAGAATGAGTTGAAGTTTGTTTCTTCTATTTTTGGAAAAGATTGTGAAGAATTGACAATAATCTTTTTTAAATGTTTGGGAAAACTAATCAGCGAAACCATTTGGTACTGAGCTTTTTTGTGCATGGTGAGTTTCTTAATTACTAATTTAATCCCTTTACTTACTAAGGTCTATTGAAATTTTCTATTTGTTCTTGATTCAGTTTTTGTAGTTCCTGTCTTTCTAGGAATTTTTCCATTTCACCTAAGTTAAAATTTTGCTGTCTTACAATTGTTTATAGTATTCCTTTATAATCCTTTTATTTCTATGAGGTGGTAGTGGTGTGCCCTATTTCATTCTCTAAACATTATTAATTTAATAATTTAATTCCCTATACATTAATAATTTAATAATTTAATGTATAGGGAATGAAATAGGGCACATAACTTTTTTCTTCTCAGTCAAGCTAAAGGTTTACTAATTTTATTGCTCTTTTCAGTGAAGCAATTACTCTTGTTTTTTCCCTTAGTGTTTTTTCTATTCCGTTTTATTTATTTCCACTACAATCTTTATTATTTTCTTCTTTCTGCTTGCTTTGGGCTTAGTTTGCGCTTCCTTTTCTACTTTCTTAAGGTGGAAGTCTGGGTTATCGAGATCTTTCTTCTTTTTAATATAGGCATTTACAGCTATAAAAGTCTCCCTAAGTATTGCTTTGACTGCATCCCATACACTTTGATATGTTGTGATTTTATTTTCATTCATTTCAAATAATTTTCTAATTTTCATTGTGATTTCTTCTTTGACCCATTGATTATTTTGGAGTGTGTCATTTAATTTCTACATATTTGTGGATGTCCGAAATTTCTTTCTGTTTTTGGTTTTGAATTTCACTCTGCTATTGTTAGAGAACATATTCTATATGATTTCAATTATTTTAAATTTACTGCATTTTGTTTTATGGATGAATATACATGTATGTGTTTTCTATTGCTGCCATAACAAATTACCACAAATTTGCACCTAACACAAATTTATTATCTTGTGGTTCTGAAGATCAGAAGTCTGACATGTCTTACTGGGCTAAAAATAGGAATCTGTGTGGTTGTATTCCTTTGTGGAAATTCTCGGAGAGTTCCCTTGTTCATTCGAGTTGTTGGCAGAATTCAGTTCCTGCAAGTTGTAGGACTGAGATTCCCACTTCCTTGCTGGCTGTCAGCTGAACTGTTCCCAGCTTCTAGAAGCTACCCACATTCCCTTATTAATAGTCCCCTTCCTCCATCCTCAAAGGCAGCAATGGTGGATCAAGTCCATCAGTTTAGTAGTCACTTAAACCTTTCTCACACCTCAATTGTCTCCTCCTCCTTCCATTTCATCTCCCTACCATGGTTAGGAAAGTGTCTCCACTTTTAAGAACTCATGTATTTTGATTGGGCCCACCCAAACAATCCAGGGTAATCTCTGCATCTCAAGGTTTATACCCTTAATCATATCTGCAAAGCCCCTTTTGTCATGTAATGTAACGTGGTTCCAGGGATTAGGGCATGGATATCTTTGGGGGCCACTATTCTTCTCATGACAAGATTTATTCTTGAGAACATTCCATATACACATATAAAGAATGTCTATTCTGTTGGTGGTGGTGGAGTGTTCTGTGGGTAACTACCAGCTCTAGTGGGTTTACTGTTTTTTTCAGATCTTCTATATCCTTGTGGATCTTCTGCCTAGTTGTTCTATCCATTGTTGAAAGTGGAGTAATGATGTTTCCAACTATAATTGTTGAATTTTCTATTTCTCACTTCAGTTTTTGCTTCATGTATTTGGATCTCTGCTATTAAGTGCATATATATTCTTAATTGCCATGTCTTCTTAATAGATTGAAACTTTTACAATTATAAAATGTTTTTCTTTGTCTCTTGTAATAATTTTTGTCTTAAGAGTCTATTTGGTCTACTGTTAGTATAACTAGCCACTCCAGCTCCCCTTTGGTTACTACTTTCATGGATTATCTTTTTCCATCCTATTACTTTCAACCTATTTGTGTCTTTGAATGTAAAGTATGTCTCTTATAGATAACAGTTGATTCATTTTTTAAAATCACAACCTCTGCATTTTGATTGGTATGTTTACTCTATTTACATTTAATATGATTTACTGAAAAGATAGGCTCTACACCTTCCATTTTGCTATTTTTATATGTCCTACATCTTTTTTGTTTTTCTTTTCCCTCATTACTGTCTTCTTTTGAATTCAATTGATATTTTCTAGCATATCATTTTAATTCTTTTGTTTGTTTTACCATATATTTTTAGTTATTTTCTTATTCTTGCCCTGGGGATTATAACATTTTATCATAAAACAATCTAATCCATATCAATCCAACTTAATTTCAACAATATATTTAAAGATTGCTTCAATATAGGTCCATTTCCTGCCCCCTTCCTTTGTGTTAATATTATCGTACAAATTACATCTTTATACATTATAAGCCCAACAACCCAGTTTTATAATTACTCATTTATGTAGCTATTTTTAAATCAGATAGGATAAGAAAAGAATTACAATTAAAAATACATTATACTGTCTTTTTAATTATGTAATTACCCTGCAGTGCTCTTTATTTCTTTGTGTGGATGAAGTTACCATCTAGTGTCCTTTCATTTCAGCCTGAGAGACTCCTTTTAGTATTTCTTGTAGGGAAGATCTACTCATGATGAACTCTCTCATTTTTCATTTATCTGGACATTTCTTCTTTTTTTTCAAAGATACCTTTGCTAGATATAGAATTCTTGGTTGACAGTCATTTTCTTACAATACTTTTAATATGTTATCCCATTGCCTTCTTGCCTGAATGGTTTTGATAAGAAGTCAGTTGTTAATCTTATTGAGGAATTTGAAGCTAGAGTGTATATGCTGAGTTATTTTTCTTTTGTAGCTTTCGAGATTCTCTTTTTGTCATTGGCTTTTGATAGTTTGACTCTGATGTATCTAGGTATGGATTTCTTTGTTTTTATACCACTTGTAGTTCGTTGAATTTCTTGAGCATGTAAATTAATGTTCTTCATCAAATTTGGGAAGTTTATGGCAATTATTTCTTCAAATATTCTTTCTGCCCCTTTATCTCCTCTTCTTTTGGGATTCTCATTATATACATATTGGTATGCTCTCTGAGGCTCTGTTCATTTTTCTTCATTCTTTTGACTTTCTGTTCCCTGGATTGTATAATCTCAATTGACCCATATTCAACTTACTGAATCTTTTTTCTGCCTGCTCAAATTGGCTGTTAAGCCCCTCTGGTTAATAATTTTTTATTTCAGTTGCACTTTCAACCCAGAATTTTATTTTTTTCCCTTTTTTATATAATTTTCTATCTCTTTATTGATATGCTGTATTTGGTAAGACATCATTGTCATGCTTTTTAACATTCTTTAAACATGTTTTCCTTTAGTTGTTTAAACATGTTTTTAAGACGTGTTCTAAAATCTTTGATAGTAAGTCCAATGTCTGGGCTTCCTCAAGAAAAAGTTTCTAATGGCAGCTTTTTCCCTGTGAATAGGTCACACATTTTGTTTCTTTGTATTTCTCATATTTTTTTCTTAAAAACTGAATGTTTTAAATAAAATAATGTGGCATCTCCAAAAATCAGACCTCACCCCTCTTCACAATTTGTTGTTGCTTCTGTTTGTTGTTGTTGCCGATGCTGCTGTTTCTCTGTTTCGTGAATTTCCTGGACTAAGTTTTAATGTATACTTTTTGTCATGTGTAGCCACCGAAGTCTTTCCTCAGTTTAGTTGTCCATTAATTTTTGGACAGAGATTTCTTTACATTCCTTGCACAACTAAATCTACCTACCTTTGCTGGGAAGCTTTGTTTGTGTTGAGCCATGCCTTCGATGCTTCAGCAAGCAGCTGACAACTCTGCCTCAGAGTTTACTTCCTGCTTGCACAGAGCCTCAAAGCCAAACAAAAGTTAAGCTCTAGTTAGATCTGTCTTGGACATGTGTACAACCCTGCACGTGCACATGGCCTTCTAGGTTCTTAAGAATATGTCAGAGTTTTTCCAAAGCCTCTATGAATACCTCATTCCCCAGTTTTTCCTTGTAACTGTTTTGGTCAGCCTCTTATTAGCCCCAACTGGTACTGCCATCTCAGGCAGTTGCAATGTCAAACAATTTTTGCTGATTGTTTTTGACAGATTCCCTCAGGATAGGGCTGTTCACACAGACTAAGCTCCAAACCATGTTAAGCAAAGACAATCCCTGGGAATGTGCCTTTTCCAGGGAGCTGTCAGACAGATCAAATAGTAACAACTTTCTGAGGATGGGATTTTTGGAGAGCTCTAAACCTATTCTGTCCTCCCCAGTGGCTACCAGGCTGCTGGTTTTCACAGCTGTCATGGTTGTGAGAATGTTAATTGTGTGTGTGTGTGTGTGTGTGTGTGTGTAAAGACAGAGGTTGTCTCTGTGTTGTCCAGACTGGTCTCAAACTCATGGACTTAAGCAATCCTCCCATCTCAGCCTCCCAAAGTGCTAGGATTATAGGAGTGAGCCACCATGCCTAGCTGAGAACATTTATGTTCAAGTCTATCATAGAGCTTGGAAAAGAAGACTACGAATAAGGCAAATTAAAACACCACAAAATTTGCTATTCTTACTGAGATTCAGCTGTGTTTCTTGAATAAATCTAACTTGGATTGCTGAAAGCCTTTGGTTAATTTCCAGGACTCTGAAAATGTTAATTTTGACATTTTTGCCAGTGCTCTCATTGTTGTTAAGGAAGGATTTTCAGAAGTCCTTATTCTGACATTCTGCAAGTGTTTCTCTTGGTTTGAGTTTTCATGTGATTGTTTGGGGTAGTTGTTTTTATTTTTGTTGTTGTCTTGATTGGTTTTTGGAGAGATGGTTTTCTACTGGATACTCCTAGGATTCTTTTCTTTGAAGGCAAACATTCATTTTGTTAGGATCTGTCATCTCAGCATTGACTTCTCTAAATCAATTTACCCTTCAGTCAGAAAATTCAAGTCTTCCTTTATTTCAGGAAAGTTGTTCTGAATATTGAGTCTAAGTTTTTTTCTATTCCATAGTTCAGGTTTCCTAACCAGGGGACAGAATGTCCTCCCCTGCACTGAATGGCCTCTGCCTTTGTTTACTGAAGACTGCCTGAGTATCACTTGCAATTTAAAACAGGGCCTGTCTGTAGAGCCTTCTCTGTACCCAGGACAGTTTAGAGGCGTGTCTGTGTTTCCACACCAACAGTAATTATAGTAATAATGATTACTACAAGGTGAGCATCTAATGCTTTGAAATCTGATATCATTTAATGACCCCAGCTACCCTGTGAGGTGGGTATTATCTTCATTTGCAGATGAAGATACTGCAGCTTAGTCAGCAGACTAAGTCACCTAAATGCTCTGTCAGAAGCGGAATTTGTACTCAGGAATGGCCAACTGCAAAGTCCATGTGCTTGAACAGTATGGCATACTGATACATGCACCTGCCATGACCAGAACACAATACAGTGATCTGGCAGCACTTCGTGGCTCACCATCTCTGCTATACTGATAACAACTTGAGGGCTGGACCTACTTATCTTATTCAACAAGGACCCTCTCAGAGGTTAGGGTTGCCCAGTGCAAAGATAGCAAGTCATGTGACACATGGGCCACCTCACCCCTCCTGCAGCCATTGATAACTTTCTTCTTTGAACATGGCATTCTTTCGCTCTAAGCCCAGTTAAGAATTCAGAATCCTTCTAGGCCCAGTTTTTAAAGCAGCCACCACCAATCTATTGGTGCTGACATGAATTCAAAAGATACTTTCTATCCCTTATCTAAATAGTTCATAAGATGATGAGGCTGAACTATGGAACAAATGTAGTCCATCAGAGATTTCTAGAAAAAAAAAACAACTCTCAATAGTCCTAGAAGTTTGGAAATGAGTATTAATCCCAGGATAATCCAGACACATCTTGTCTTATGGCCTGATGCCAAGTGATGTGGCCCTTATCTAATAGCACATTTGCATTTTAAATGAGTAAAGCTGGTTAAACCTCTTTTTCTAATTTCAGCTATTATTTTATCTACAAGGGCCTCATAGACATTCACTCCACCCAACAACCACAGAATATACATTCTTCCTATCTGTACACAGAACATATTCTCAGATCAACCATATGCTGAGTCATAAAGCAAGTCTCAATAAATTTTAAAAAATTGAAATTATACCAAACACACTCTTGGACCACAGTGCGATAAAAATAGAAACTAATATCAAGAAGATCTCTCAAAACTACACAAATACATGGATATTAAACAACTTTTTCCTGATTAACTCCTAGGTGAAAATCAAAATTAAGGCAGAAATAAAAAAATCTTTGAAAGTAATGAAAATGGAGATACAACTTAACAAAGTCTCTGGGATACAGCCAAAGCAGTGTTAAGAGGAAAGTTTATAACGTTAAATGCCTTCACCAAGAAGTTAAAACAATCTCAAATTAACAGTCTAAGTTTGCACCTAGAAGAACTAGAGAAAAAGAGCAAACCAACCCCAAAGCTAGCAGAAGAAAATAAATAACTAAAATTAAAGAAGAACTTAATGAAATTGAGATGCAAAAATCCATACAAAAGATAAATGAAACCAAAAGTTGATTTTCAAAAAAATAAACAAGACTGAGAGACCACTAGCTAGATTAACAAAGAAAAAAGAATTTCCAAATAAGTACTGTCAGAAATGACAAAGATATTACAATTCATCTTCATTTGCAGATGAAGATACTGCAGCTTAGTCAGCAGACTAAGTCACCTAAATGCTCTGCCAGAAGCAGAATTTGTACTCAGGAATGTCCAACTGCAAAGTCCATGTGCTTGAACAGTATGGCATACTGATACATGCAGAAATACAAAAGATCCTCAGAAAATACTGTGAGTAATTCTATGCACACAAATTAGAAAATCTAGAGGAAATGGATAAATTCCTGGGAACATACAATCTCCCAAGATTGAATCAGGAAGAGACTGATACCCTGACTAGACCAATATCAAGCTCTGAAATTAAACCAATAATAAAAAACCTACCAACGACAACAACAAAAAGCCCTGGACTAGATGGATTCACAGCTAAATTCTATCAGACATACAAAGAACTGGTACCAATCCTACTGATTAAACCTCTTTAGGTTCTGCTTTTTGTATTGTTAAAATCTTCATTTTTGGTTTTCTAACGGTCTCTGATTCAAACATTCGTTACCAATAAACAATCCAGGTAGCCTCACCCTGAGTGGCAGCCTGGCTGGGTGAGTTCTAAAAATGCCCAAGACCTCCAAGACTAGGTGAGATCTGAAGTAATGAAATGCCTCCATTCACTAAAGGCCTGAAATTGTCCTGACTGCCTCAGTCCCACGGACCAAGAAGAGCCTTTCAAGCTGTGATCCCAATACTTGTGGCTGCTGTGAGAATAAGGAAAGCAGCCTAGGCCTCCAGTGGAAGGATCAGATGTTTGCCCTTCATACCTCAGAGAGCCTTCATCCAAGTAAGATGGGTGGTGAGGAGCTGTGGATGACAGCATGAAGGATGAGGACTGATGCAGCAGCCATAATTAGATTATAGGTTTCCATGGGATGTGCCATGACTGCTTACAAATGGGGCCCAGCCATGGAATTGAGTTATCAACTAAGCTGATTCCTGAGGCACAGATCATCCTGTCCTCCACAACATGATTAAAGACTACATGATGCTCAGGAAGACCTCTGCAGCTGTGTGCTTGGAAGAGTGTGTTTTTCCTGCTAAAGCATAAGAAAAAAGAGACCAGCAATTATTATCTTAGGCCTTGCAGCATCCTTTCTGGTCCCACAAGTTTGAGAAGGCAGGTGTGTGTGTGTGTGTGTGCATTTGTGTTTGTGTGTGTGTGCACGTCCACATGCATGCATGATCCTACAATGGAAGTGAGTACGCAAAAGTTGATTGCCTATATACCCTCCCCACAACCAGGTGTATAAGAGTGTTCTTTGAGAATGAGAAAGCAGGAAGGAGCACATCCCACACCTTAGCATTCATGTAGTCAATTAGGAACTCCTGAGCTCCCATGACATGCTAGACCCTGGGCTCAGCACTGGATCTCAGACATGTCCCAAACTGGGCGATGGAAGTGGTGGGAAGCAACCACTCATGGACAGCTTCCCGTGTGCCAGGAGTGTGCCAGCATTGACATTATGCCGTCTCTCACTCCTGCCCTCCATCACATTAGTGATTCTGCCATGAGTGACTCGTTCCTTTGGGTTCCTGTTAAGTTCCTGTGGAGGGGTCTAGCCACAGCAGGGGAAAGAGCACCGAGGGAGCTTTTAGGAAACTCTGCTCCAGGTCAGCTGTGTGATGCTGAAAAAATGGCTCACCCTCTCTGGACCTGTTTCCTCTTTTGCACAATAAGAGGGTGGTGTTCTCCAAGGTCTCCTTGAAGATCCGACTTATCCTTGGTCATCACTTTGCAGAGGGCAGGTCCTGTCCCCAAGCCCACCAGAGTGGAGCTGGGAAAAGTTCCATGGTGAAGAAAAGGCAGGGGACACAACTCTGAGAGTCATTCCTTTGAAGATTGAGCCCAGAGGGCTCAGTTTCTGGATTGCATGGGGCACTTTGTCTCTCTCTGCTGGAGCCACGCACCCCTGGTGCAGTAGTTTCTGCCCTGCCCAGACTCTGGTCCCAGAAGGTTGACATAATGAGGAAGGAATGAGCTTGCCAGCTCTGCCATGACCAGCAGGCTGCCTTGGGCAAGTGCTTCACTTCCCTGAGCCTCACTTCCTCTGCCTCATCCCTTCTCAGAGACCACTCCTCATTTACCATCCTAAAGTCTGACCCGTCCTGACAACCATTATTCTCTCTCCATCCCCTGGTTTTTCTCTTTAGGACAGTTACTGCATTCTCTATCTCTTGTTGTTTCTTAGGTGGAGGAGGTACCTGCCTCCTCCCTACCTAGAACGTGAGCCTAGTAAAGGGATGGGCCTCACCTGTTTCAGGTTTGACCTCCAATGCCCGTCACGTAGAAGCTCAACACCATTTCCAATGCCAGAAGTGACAGGACAACAGCAACAATAGCAATATTTCTGTACCACTCCCCTCACTTTCCAAAGAGAAGTAATTCCCAGCTTGGACCTTCCCTTGCTGGGAGGGGTGCCCAGGTGTGGCCTCTCTGTGACCTTGGACCCTGGCTCCGGCATATGCCAGCCTGGCCTTTCCCCAGGGTAGGGAGCTGGCACCCTGGGCATTCCCCAGCCAGCATCCAGCCTTCTTGGGCAGGGCCTTTCCACACCATTCCTCCCAAATCCTCACTGGCCCACCCTGGAACAAATGCAGGCGGAAGCTCGCATCCCCACCTCTGCTGTTTCTGCTGGGTCCCCAAAGAGCTTTCTTTAGGGAAAAAGAAAGCAGGCCAGTGCCTGCTCCTTTTAGACCCCACAGTGGGGCATGGGGTGGGCCTTGGTTGGCCTTAATTTTCCATTCACCTGAGGAGTGGCTCAATCTCACTCATTCCCATTGCAGGTGGATGTCAGCCAAACTGGATGCATAAGGTTTTTGTGATTTAGGAGTTGCAACAGGGGAGATAAAACGCCTAGGAATGTCTTCAGTTGGAAAAAAGGGGCACGATCCTCACATTCTGTAACCTGAGCACTTTATCTCCTCTCTCCCCTTCCTTCACTGATACAAGAAAGGAGACTCCAGCACTAGTTTCCTCAGTCCTTCTGCAGGGCGGGCCTTCTCACGGCCTCAAAGTCATGGAGAAGAGTGTGCACAGGACACCTCACTTTAAGCAAAGCCCATAGACCGTATTTGAGAAAAGGAGTTAAATAAAGAGGCAGCCACCAACAAACCAGAGCCCTGTGGTCACTCAGGTCCCATAGACTCTAGAGGTCAAAGGGCCTCCGAGCATTTGAGAATCAGAGAGGGCAAGTAACTTGGCTGATATCACATAGCACGAAGGTGGCAGAGCCAGGATTCCACCTGCTGGCCTCCCAGATGTCTTTCCTGTTGGACCCTGCTTGCTGGCCACTCCTGGTGGGGGTCACTCCACCATTAGTGTGTTCATCAAACTGACAGTTGTGGTCCAGATCCCTTGCCTCTGGTGTGCCCAGCACCTTAGCTGGCACCTCCCTCAGCAAACCCAGCCTTCGCCATCCTCCCAAGCATACTTCCCAGGGCTGTTTTGTCCATTACGGTCCCAGAATATAAGGCCTTTGGGTTTTTTCAGGGCCTGTGAAAAGGTTTGAAAAATGAAAAACACACTGGCAGTTCCAAAATTCTCAAATAAAACTGTAGAAATGCCTTAGGAATTAAATATGTAATAAGATGTGAACACTTCATTACACACCTACAATTAGTCACATGCCTACGATATGTGAATAATGTCAGGTCAGCTAGTGAACTGTTATACAGTAATTGCGCATCACTTATATAGATATACACAAAGTGCACTTACTGACTTGGATGTGTGTGTTCATTGTTTGAAGTGGCGTGGATGGAGGCTCCAAAAGATAAAAGAATGTAGGGGAGGTGACTCTTCAAATGGCCCTCACCCACCCCTTACCCTCAGCTCACCCACCATGAAGCTTCCCCTTCCAAGGAGGACACACCTCCTTTCCTAGAACATTCTTCAGTGCCACAAGCTGCTCAGTCAGCCCTGATTCTGGAGTCTCCAGTGAGCGAGGCCTGGGGTGGCCCCAGTGGGATGAGCCACACTCCCCACAGCACTCAGCCTGGATGTGGCACTGGCTGCACATAGCAAGAGGCAGCTATTGGACACCTGCTCGCCACATGTTCTGTCTTATCCTCCCAGCAACACCGAGTGAGGGAGGGAGTGTTAACCCACCATTCACCAGGTTTACCAGAGACCAAGCCCAGGATCTCTCCACTGCACACTTTTAAAAGGGTCCTTTCAGCTTCCCATTAAAGAAGTTTGTTCCTTTGTTCCTCCTCTCCTGTTCTTCCTAAGACATCATCACTGAAATTTAAGCTTATAAATTTAAAATGAAGTAAATCTATAAGGGAAAAGCATTAAAAAAGAGAGAAAGATGGCTTACTAATGGATGAGAGTCCAACACATTTCTGGAAGACAAGGTTCATGAGAGGCCTAGCACTGTGGCTCCCACCTGTAATCCCAGCACTTTGGGAGGCTGAGGCAGGAGGATCGCTTGAGGACAGGAATTGAAGCCTGCAGTGAGTTACCGTCACACCACCCTACTCCAGCCTAGGCAACAAAGCGAGACCCCATCTCTTAGAAAAGAAAAAAGAAGATTCACAAGAGGGTGTGGCAATATTAGACAGGCTAAGCCCCCAGGTGTACCCAGTGTAACCACAGGGGCCCTTCGGTGGAAGGGAGAAGCAGAAGAGGTCAGAGTGAAGCCACACCTGCTGTGACAATGGAGGGAGAAAGTGGCTGGCCAAGGAACTCCATCAGCTTCTAGAAGCTGGAAAAGGCAAGGAAACAGTCTCCACCCGGAGCCTTATGGGAACACAGCCGCCTCATGGGAACACAGCTGCCCTGTGACACTGATTTTAGCCCCGTGAGGCCCATGCTGGACTTCTGGCCTCCAGAACTGTAAGATTTGTGGTGCTCTAAGCAAATCATAAATTTGTGGAAATTTGTTACAGCAGCAACAGAAAACTAGCACAGGCAGCCTACGTGCTAATTCTCATCTTACCTGAGGTGGGGAGTACAATACACCCTGCGTTAGTTGGAAAGCTGAAACAATTCTCTAATGCTAATACTGAAATTGTCAGGTCGGTGTAACTGTGACAGTCCGGAAGCAATGGAGGCTTCAGTGAGCAGGACCAGCTGCCTTTCTCACCACCACAGCTTGATCTCTCTCACAACTTCCTCTCCACCTCCACTGACCTCTGGGTTGGTTTTCTCCTGCACGATCTTTCCACGTGTCAGGGGCCTGGAGGCACCCTACAAGAGCTGATTTTACATTTCCTTCCTAGAGGTAATCCCAGAACAAAAGAGAGCAGTTTTATTTATTTTTTTCAAGAGAATTAAATTGTTTATTGATTACACATGATAATGGATGATACACAAGCTTCATTCCCATCTATAATTTAATCTGGTACCATTATTCAATTAGATATGTTACATAGGATGTGCCAACAATTACTTTTATAACCAATAATTCCATGATTTTGCTTGGGTAATCCCTTTTAATGGTGACTGAAATCATGACTGACCGAGTCAGTGGCTAGAAAAGGGGCTTTGCCTTTGTAACTTTTGATGACCATGACTCCGTTGATAAGATTGTCATTCAGAAATACCATACTGTGAATGACCACAACTGTGAAGTTAGGAAAGCCCTGTCAAAGCAAGAGATGGCTAGTGCTTCATCCAGCCAAAGAGGTCGAAGTGGTTCTGGAAACTTTGGTGGTGGTCGTGGAGGTGGTTTCAGTGGGAATGACAACTTTGGTATTGGAGGAAACTTCAGTGGTCTTGGTGGCTTTGGTGGCAGTCGTGGTGGTGGTGGATATGGTGGCAGTGGGGATGGCTGTAATGGATTTGGTAATGATGGAAGCAATTTTGGAGGTGGTGGAAGCTACAATGATTTTGGCAATTACAACAATGAGTCTTCAAATTTTGGACCCATGAAGGGAGGAAATTTTGGAGGCAGAAGCTCTGGCCCCTGTGGCAATGGAGGCCTATACTTTGCAAAACCATGAAACCAAGGTGGCTATTGGCAGTTCCAGCAGCAGCAGTAGCTATGGCAGTGGCAGATTTTAATTAGGAAACAAAGCTTAGCAGGAGAGGAGAGCCAGAGAAATGACAGGGAATCTACAGGTTACGACAGATTTGTGAACTCAGCCAAGCACAGTGGTGGCAGGGCCTAGCTGCTACAAAGAAGACATGTTTTAGACAAATACTCATGTGTATGGGCAAAAATCTCGAGGACTGTATTTGTGACTAACTGTATAACAGGTTATTTTAGTTTCTGTTCTGTGGGAAGTGTAAAGCATTCCAGCTAAGGGTTTTAATATAGGTTTTTTTTTTGCACCCATGCTGTTGATTGCTAAATGTAATAGTCTGATCATGACGCTGAATAAATGTCTTTTGTTTTAATGTGCTGTGTAAAGTTAGTTTACTCTGAAGCTATCTTGGTAAATTTCCCCAACAGTGTGAAGTTAGAATTCCTTCAGGGTGATGCCAAGTTCTATTTGGAATTTATATACAACCTGCTTGGGTGGAGAAGCCATTGTCTTCAGAAACCTTTGTTGTAGTTGAACTGATAGTTACTGTTGTGACCTGAAGAGAGCAGTTTTAGTAGTGAAAGTCCTGCAGGATTCCTAGTGGTCAAGATTGGGGAGCATGCCTGTATCCCACAGTGGCCAGGGCCCAGGACATATGCCTGGCCCTGTGACTGGCTGGTCATGGGCACAGGCCCCCGGGAGGGAGGGGAGAGTCCTTTCAGAAGAAGGGGAGGGTATGGGAACAGACCCAACCTGACCGCCCCAGACCGTTACTCTCCCTGAGGTGGATGGAATGCAGAATCAAAGTACAATTATATGGTTTAAAGTTTTAAAAGTAAATAACAGAAAACTAAAAATAATTATGCCAAAATGATAAAACTTTGGAAGGATGAAGGGAGGAAGCAGAGGTGCATAATGAGGCCATTTCTTATGTTCCGTCACAGGAGGTAGATAAATTTTCTCCAGATGAATAAAAAAATAAGGGTGCCTATACATGCTACTAAGCATTGTGGAGGCGCCCACCAGAAGTACTAAAAATGGAAATGTTTACAAGAAGTTGCCTCTGGAGAGTGAGGCCAGGACTGGGGAGGGGAGAGGATAGAAACTGTTTTCTCTCACCATAAACCCTTCTCTCATATTTGATTTGTTCCTATCTGTTTGTTTTACATTGATCACAAGATGTGCTGTGAGAGTGAAAGATTTTTAAATATTTAGATGGATGTCCTGAGCTTTGATATGAAATGCTGATCTGATCAATATCTAATATGATAACTCCATTTGGGATAAAATTTTAGGGTCATGGGGAAAAAACATAATTTGGAATCATCTTCATTCATATGCAAGTTATGCTTTTTAAGAAGGAAACTCCTTGATTCTCATCTGCTGTGCTGAATCTTTAGGAGTTTAACCTGCTATGTCACATGTTTCAATAAAAGAGAGATGTTCCCAGCCTGTTAAACAACAAACTCGCCTGCTTAAATCAAAAAGCAATTATGAATGAATGATTGAACTCTTGTCATCACCCTCTCTCCAGGAGAGAGTAAGGCACATTCATTCTCACAAGAAGACCTGGCCTCACCCCATTTCTCTGTTTCCCAGGCATATGGCTCATCTGCGTCCAGTGTATGTTTGGCCAGGACACTGGACATGTCCCACTTGGCTCCTGCCTCTTGCCCCTGCCAGTCTGGCCTACAGCCGTGGGTCTGAGGGGAGGACTGGGAGCCATCAGAGACAGCAGCTGGCCAGGATCTGATTTGGAGGCCTAGTACTCAATGCAGAGTTACTCTTCAGGCCCCAGCTCCTTCATGCAGGGCTCCTGGGCCACATATTCAGAGTCAGATTCCCCACCCTTCTCCAGGGATTCGGGTCATTGACTTACACCAAAGCTGGAAGCCATAAATCAGGAGACTTCATTGGTCTCATTCCTGAACCCACCCCTGCAACCTTTGGTCATCGCCCCATAGGCCAGCCCTGGCCATCCACCCATCTCCCTGATGCTCCCTCCATCCTGCTCTGGGACTCCTCTCCTTCCTGCTCTTCCGCCACGGCTGACTCTGCCTCTTCGTCACTGTTCCACTGGGAGGCCCATTTCAGAGCAAATGAACCCTCTGTGTCATCAGCCTTTCTCTCCTCCCCTGGGGGCATACTCCTTTGCCCTAGATGGGGGCTTCTCACTCTCCCACTTCCAACTTGGCTAAGGACCCAGCAGGACAGGGAGCCTCTTCCTCTTCCCCTTTGCCCTCCTCCCACATCCCATCGTCTTTCGCTCTCTGGAGGTTGGGGGGAGGGGCAGGGTGGAACAATTCCCCCAGCTTCTCACTCCCAGGGCCTCCCCTCCATGATCACCGTCTCCCTCTCCTCCCTGAGGCCGGAGGCCTGGCCATGCCCGTAGGGACAACGTCTCCCCAGCTTGGCCTTGGTGCTCTGGGACCTCCCCAACTGCACAACAGGCTCCCAAGCCGGGAATGCTTTTGTCTCAGCTCCCCTCTAGACCTGGGGAGCCCTCCATGGAAAACCACAGTCGAAAAATGGATTTAGTATCTGCATTGTTCAGGGTCATGGCAAGAAATGGCATTGAATGCTTCAAATGATGAGACTTTAATGGCAGTAGTCCTTACAGAAGTGTGGCCAGGTGAAGAGGATGAACAGGGATGTTGAGAAGCACGAAAACAAACAACTCTAGGATGCTGTTACTCATGGGGCTAGACAGAGAGGAATAGTGTTGCCACAGCCAGTAAGAGCTAGAGATGTGGAGAAGGGGTTTCCAGCAGGAGCTGATGTCTTGGAGAGACACAGCCTTGGGGAGGGGCAGTGGGGACGGGGTGGGGGGATACACTGACCACTCTCTCTCTTCCTATACTTTTGCCTTCCAGCTAGAGTCTCCCACTGGCTAATTCCAACCTCTGCCCAGTCAGTAAGAAAGCCTGAGAGGCAGCTTAAAGACGTCAGGTTCCCAGGGTCAAGCAGGACACATGGCTGTGGGGGTGGGGAAGGAGAGTGGGCAAACACCCTGAAACTAAAAGGAGAGTAGCAGTGCAGAATCCAGGGCCACTGAAAACAGTTCCCAGAGTCCAACTCCGTCGTTTTGCAAATGGAGAAGCCAAGGCTGGAAAAGGTTAGTGATTTTCCCAAGTCACACAAAGTTCGTGGCCAGGCTGAGCCCAGACCCCAGATCCCCATCCCCCCTGCTGCCTGTGACACAACAAAGGCCTTGACACCAACACTCCCTTCTGTGGAGTCCCTTGTAGTGTTTATGCACTAAAAATCATTTTTAAAACATTTTAATAGGGTATATTGCTTTGAATCCCTTCCCCAACAGGAAATATGCTGGCTGGCTGGCAGAAGGCTCAGCAGCTGACCTTGAACTCCCTTGACCTCCCCACATCCAGGCTGAGATTTTCCATCCAACGGTATTGCCAGAGCCCAAGCTGAATGGAGGAGGCTGGAATTAAACAGTAATAGCCCCTTCCAGTTATCGTTCTGTAGCCGGCAGCTAGATAAATATTCGGAAAACATCGGAGGAGAAATCTAATTGAATTCAAACATAATAAATTGAAGCCAACTCACTGGATTTATGGTCATGTCTTCTGGCATCTTTTAATTTTGCATCACACTCATTTGGAGGCAATCAAATTAGGGCGCTCATTAGCAGCCAAGGGAGGGGAGGCTGGAGCCACACTCACTGCGGTAATGAGATCTCTGCAGTGGGATGATTCAGAAGTCGGTTGCCGGGGAGGCTGCAAGGGCACAGTGGTCACTGCCTCCTTTCAGGAAAGTTGTTGGGAGGAGCAGGAGGTTGATTGTAGGAGGGAGCAAGGGTGGAGTCCAGCCCAGCTACTCACCGGGTAACTGTGGCCTTCACCGCCCACAGTGTCAGACTCCTCCTCGGTGGGATAGCGGCAGTGCCTGCCTCCGAAGGCTAAATGAGTAGGAAATGAGATAAGAGGTAGAAACCATGTCTTCCTCCAGCCCTCAGAGTTTGATAACCTCTGCCCTCTCATCCCATTACGGCCCCATGGACAAAGCTCCTTGGCCCCCGATTCTCACTCATGGACCTCTGGCTTGTACATGTGAGAAACAAACTTACCCGTCCAAACCCAAAGAATGGACTCAGATACCCAGAGAACAGCGAAAGTGAAACTTTTAATGATGAACTTGCAAGATCGGGTGTCTGATGGACAAGCACACCCAGCAGTTTCGACAAGCAGTTTATCCCTAGAGTACGGGTCCCTCCCCCAGTTGCTCATAGACTGAGTACTATGGGGTCACAATTTTCCCGGATGTTGCCTATTGATTGTTAGGTAGGGGCTTTAGGTGTTTTTTTTTAGGGTTGTCTTGCTGCATTTTGTTGCAGCTCACAATGCATTGCAATCCTAGTCAGCTCAGGGGCTCTTCAAGTGTTTGACTTATGACCTAAGTAGCTAGGCAGGCTGACAAGAAGAGACAAATCAAGCTATCTTGCAGACTAATAAACTTTTATCTAAACTTCTTTGGTTCGGGTGAGGGCAACTAAGGGGGTGGGGAAGAGGGAAGAAGGGGGAGGCCGACAAGCAGGCAGCAGCTATCCAAGCAGGGGCCTAGTATGTCCTGTTGCTTCTATAGTTTGCTGACCTAAGCCGATTCAAGGCACTTGGTCTTGGAAATGGACCACTGTATACATTATTTCCTTCAGACACCCACCGTGGACACAATGCTCAGCTCATCCTGGCAGCCTGGCGAGATATGGCCTTGCCGCTAGAGCCGTTCCAGGCATCCCTACCCCAGACCAGGGGACTGGTCCAAGAGACCTGAGCTGGAACCTGAGAAGGACATCCAGGCAGCAGCCAAATAGGTGCCTGGTGCAAACAGGTGTTCAGGAAACACGGGCTTTCTCATCCACCCCAGTCCCTGCACAGGGCCGAGGAGGAGGAGGGCAGGCAGCTTTCTTGTCTGGCACAATCATTCACTTATCGAATACCTCATATGCCTGTGGTGCCAGGCGGGGTGCAGAATGTTATCCCATTCCATCCTCACTGACCATAAGGGAAGTATGAACACGTTTCACTTTGTAGATGAGGAAACTGAGTCCCAGTGAGAATAGGCATTTGCTCATGGCCACACAGCAGGTAAGAGATGGAGTCAGCAGTCAAACCCAGGTCTGACTGACTCCAGAGCCTGCGCACTCTCTGACAAGCAGCTCCACAGAACCGTGGCTGCCCAAGCAGGTGACTCCACAAAGAGCCTGGAGCCTCTGGGACCTGGACAGGGAAGTAGATTGCAGCCTTGTGAGAGTTACATCATGTGATGAGGGCTTTCTGATCCCACAGTCTACAGAGGGAACCACAGCTGGAGCTGAGCAAAGCCAGCTCATCCAGGCAGGGGCTCCAGTGAGTGCGCCCTGCTGCTCGCCAGGTGGTCAGCCTTCCAGCTTCCCCAGGGACTACCTACATGTCCCCCCAATGCTTACTGCCCACTCCCAGGAGGGGCTGCGTGTCAGAGCAGGCCAGAGCACCAGATGCCCTGTAAGGGTGTGTCTCTGTGTGTTTGTGTATGTGAGTGTGCACACACATGCATGTGGAAATGTGCGTGGGTGTGTATACACTTGTGTGCATGCACAGGACTGTGTGTGCTTATAAGTGTGTGTCTCTGTGAGTGTGTGAGAGTGTGTGTGTGTAAGTGTGTGAGGTAGGCCAAGCAATTCCAATCACTTGTTTTCTGAAATGTCCTCAGATCCACCCAGGTGAAAGGAGCTGATAAATATGTCATTATAATCACATTTTCTACTGTTAAAATACAGTCCTGATTATATTTGCAATGACGACAGTTTACTTTACCCAACACAGTAGGTGATTCAATTAAACCTCTCCCCATCTATCCTTGGGCAGCCAGACAGGCCAGCCTTTCCAGCCACAGGGAGAAGAGAAGGCAAAGGTGACACTCCCATGGCCGCGTACTCTCTCATCACATTCTTGATGCTTCCCCTGTCTTGGTTTTTTGAGGCCCCCAGGGCTTGGCCAGGTGTCTGCTCATTAACATATTAGGCCTGAGTTCAAATCATGAGCCCCATGAGCAGAAATGCACTCCAGGCCCCCTCCCCACTCCACAGAGCAGTGCACCTGAAGCACAGACCTGACTGAGTGAAGAAAGTCTTGACAGTAACCACCTGATGTTAGCACAGATGCCACAGACTTAGGGCCCTGCAGGATGCCAGCTGCATTCCCAGTGCACCCACACTTCCAATCACTGGCTACCAAGATAGAGGCTCCCACTCAGGGCTTCAAGTTGAATAAATAATTCATTAGAATGACTCACCAACCTCTGCACTTACAATTCCAGTTTTATTGATTGGTACAAATCAGGACAAGCTAAATGAAAAGATGCACAGGGAGAGGTTTGGGGAGATTCCCAAATGTGAAGCCTCCCAGAACACGGTTATATGATTACCAACCAGGGTGGCTGCACTGAGCTACAATGTCCAGAGTTTTTATTGGGGTTTGTTACCTAGGCATGATTGATGAAATCATTGCTTACACCTTTGTACTCAATTCCAATACCCACTCTCTCCCCAGAGGTCAGGCTGATATCATGTGGCTCAAAGTCCTGACCCTTTATTCACATGGCTGGTCTTGCCATGGTTGGCCAGCCTGCATCCTGAAGCTATGGAGTCCCACCTTGAAGCACCTGGTCAGCATAAACTCCGGTGTGGCCCCAGGGACCCACGATGAATAGCAAAGACACTCCTGCCACCCTGAAAATGCCAAGCTCCCTTCCAGGAACCTGGGACAAAGCCCAAATGCTTCATTTTACAACACCATGGGCCCCCTAAAGTGTCTGGTGGCTCTTCATTGCCTTCTGGGTAAATCCAGGCTTCAGCCTTGCCTAGAAAGCCCCTTCCTCCTTGTCTGCCCTCATCTCCCAGCTCTCTGGCCAGGTGCCTTTTGTTCCAGCCACACTGGCCTTCTTCACTTTCCAGACATACCAGGTCCTTTCCCATACCTTTGGGGTGATATCCTCCCCATCCTTTCCCCTTTCTTAATGCTTCCACTGTCTTGACATATGTGACATCTGCTCACCTCTTCATCTCCCTAATGAGGCTATGAGCACCCAAAGGCACCCTCAAGGCCCACACATTTTAGCTGTCCTGGAAGACCTGAAGCCACACAGTGCAAGTTCTGCAGAGACTGTGCCATTCAGAATCCCTGAGGCCCTTGGCTGGGAGCCATATTAGTGGTCCTTCCCTGGCCTACAGAGAGGCTGCACCATTCTCGAGTCCTAAGCATGGCATGGCCACAGTACTTGCATTCACCTTTATCTCTGATCATGAAGTTGAGCAAGCAGCTGACTCAAGGGCCAATGATCCTGCCAAGGTCTTCCTACAGGTGTTCCCAGCAGGCCTGCTAGCCAGGGGTGTGGCGCCACAGGTGCTTATCATGGGCCCACTGCAGGATGGCTGGTCCCCAAGCAGCCCCACCCAGAGAAGCTTCCACCATGATCCTGAGGCAATGCCTAAGGCCTCTGGAGAATGAGGTGACTATCACTGTTGGGGGGGCATGATCAACACAGGGTGCAAGTCAGTTTCTTGGGTGCTTACAATGTTCAATTATTGAATCTGAGTGCGGGTGACATGGTTCCCTTGGCAAAGATTAATCGAACCATATAATTATAATTTGTATATTTTTGTATATGTCTGTTCACTTCAGTAAAAATTTACGTAAAATGTACTATTACAAAAAAAGCTACTCTTGCCCCAGCTTCTTAGCATATGCATAAAGCAATGCTCAGAAAGCATCTTACTGATCATGAGAGTTCCCCCAAGGTGTTTATAATTGGTTCTCAGAGAAATGCTGGCTCCCTCCTTCTGTCCCCTTAGCTGAAGCAGGCTGTGCATGATACAGCCAGAGGAGGGAGGCCATCAGTGTTCTGCCAGAGTTATTTGAATTTAAGCCCCTGCACTCTAGAATTCTTGAGGCTACCCAAAGCTTCATGGAGCTCATGATGAGATTCAAGGTGCAGATTCCTATTTTGGCATCTAAATCAAGTGAGGACACATTTATGCAAGGACCTTAGGCATCCATATCAGTCACAATAAACAGTTTTTGAAATAATTTTAATTATTTTCAAATAATGCATAATAACCTCAAAACCTAGTGGCTTAAAACAATAATTTGTCACCATCTTTCACAGTTGAAGGAGTTGGCTTGGCTAAGCCAGGCAGTTGTTGTGTGGGGTCTCTCCCTGGGTTAGTCAGATGGCGTCTGAGTCATCCAAAGGCCCGACAGGGCTGGACATCCCAAGTGGCTTCCTCACATAGCTGGCAGCTGGGAACCGAGTGAGGGCTGTGGTCTGCAGGCCTAGGCACAGCTCCTCCATGTGGCTTGGGCCTTCTCACAGCATGGCATCTGGATCAGAAAGGCAGGAAGTGGAAGCTGACAGCCTCTTAGCCCTGAGCTTAGAAGCGGGCACAGCACCATATGCCTCACTCTATGGGTCAGAGAAGTCATAGAGCTCACCTAGATTCCAGGGGATGGGACAGAGACCCCACCTCTCAAGGTGAGCTCTCTAACTGGGAAATCCGTGACCATGACTTTGAAGTGAGGTTGGATCCAGGAGTCCAAGCAAGGTCCTGAACTTTCCCTCCCCGTCTCTGGCCTCTGCAGGGCTCTGTTGGGCTCCAGCTTCAGACACAGTCTCCCCAGGAGACAGCTATGGTGCTCAGCAGGTCCAAGCTCAGACTCCTTAGAGCACATGCCGAAGGAGAGACAACTGCTCTCCCAGCACTCAGTTTCCTAACAATGGACCCTAGTTGGCCCTGCTGTCCACGTGCTGATCCCAACCTAATAAGCACATCCAATGTGTGACACACTCTGGCCAATGTGGGTCCTCTGACTGCCCTTGTGGTGGGCAGTGGGGGGCTCTCTTTATTATTACCCCCACCACAATCACATAGAAAGTTTGTAAAGAGGATTCCTTTTCTCAAAGCAGGGAACCACAGAGCTCATACTGTACCCCAAGTCCCCTGCAACGTTACCTACAGGTCATGCAACCAGCATTAAGTTACAAAGAGAAAGGTGGGTACATCTGGAACTCCCTAGGCCTCCTTTTCCAGTCTCTACCTCGGGATGTCCAGCTGTCACTCCACCCCCATGTTCTCCCCCTACCCTCTGGGCCTCCAAGGCCACCTACCTCCCAGCCTTTCCTGCCTCCTTCTCCAGAAGGCCAACTGCTTCCACTGGCCACTTCAGATGGGCTCATCCCCCGGCCCTCCCCCAGCCCTCACCCTTCTCTTGAGTTCTGACAGGATAACATCGTTGATATGATTTGGCTGTGTCCCCACCCAAAACCTCATCTTGAATTACGATCCCCATAATCCCTACGTGTTAAAGTTAGGACTAGATAGATGGAGGTAATTGGATAATGGGGGCGGTTTCCCCCATGCTGTTCTCATGATAGTGAGTGAGTCTCGTGAGATCTGATGGCTTTATAAGTGCCCAGCATTTCTCCTGCTAACACTCATTCTCTCTCCTGCTGCCCTGTGAAGAACTGTGAGTCTATTAAACCTCTTTTCTTTAGAAATTACCCAGTCTTGGGTGTTTCTTCATAGCAGCATGAAAAAGGACTAATACAACTGGCTTCTAGGGTTAGCCGGGGAGTACCTCCGGCATAGACTGGGGGCCACATGGACTCAACATCAGACCACAGGCCTGTTAGAGGAGGAGGCGAAGCCATCAGTGGAAGGCACACGAGGGATCTGAGTCCTTTTCCTCCCTGCCTGTCTGTGGCCCAGGGAGCCAGTGGTGGAGATGACACTTTTTTTTTTTTGAGACAGAACCTCACTCTATCTTCCAGGCTGGAGTGCAGTGGCTCGATCTCGGCTGACTGCAACCTCCACCTCCCAGGTTTAAATGATTTTCCTGCCTCAGCCTCCCACATAGCTGGGATTACAGGCGTGCACCACCTCATCTGGCTAATTTTTGTATTTTTAGTGGAGACGGGGTTTTGCCATGTTGCCCAGGCTTGTCTCAAACTCCTGATTTCAAGTGCTCTGCCGGCCTCGGCTTCCCAAAGTGTTGGGATTACAGGCATGAACCACCACGCCGAGCTGGAGATGCCACTTCTAAGGTGTCCTTAGGTTTCAGAGGCCATGCAGGCGAATGGAGGGACAGTCATGGTGTTCTGTCTTTTGTTATGGAATAGTTATTATTAAAATCCTGGAGTGGGTTGAATTGTGGCCCCCACAAAAGGTTGGTCTGGGTCCAAACTCCTGGATCCTGTGACTATAACCTTATTTGGATAAAACGGCTTTGTAGATGTAATTAAATTAAGGATCTTCGGGTAAGTTCATCCTGACTTTGCCATTTTTAATTAAGTTGTTTGTCTTCTTATTATTGAATTGCAGGAGTAATTTTTACATTTTTGATACCAGTACTTTGTTAGATATAAGTTTGAGTACTCAGTCCTTGTAAGAGACAGAAAAGGAGAGACACACACAGAGGAGAAGGCTATGGGAGGCTGGAGGCAGAGATCAGAGCCACGAGCCAAGCTTGGAGCTACTGGAAGCAGGAAAGCAAAGAAGAACCTTGCCTGGAGCCTAAGTAGGGAGCACAGCCCTGTGACACTGTGATTTCGGACTTCTGACTTCCAGAACCGTGAGATAATAAATTTCTGTTCTTTTAAACCATGAAGTTTGTGGCAATTTGTTACGGCAGCCCTAAGAAAATAATACAAATCTTCTTTCACTGTCAAAAGTGCCTGGGTTGGAATCTATTGTAAGGACTCCCAGAGCGCTCTCGGGAAAGGAAACAAGAAGCCGGTCCCCTAGGCCTGGGCCTGACTGAGGCCGGGACCAGAGGCTCAGGTGGGGCCCTGGAGGCCAGCAGGAGGTCCCAGCCCAGTCACCAGTACAGGAGATTGACAGGAATGAAAGAAAATGTTTTGAGGGGTGTGCCTTAGGTCACGGGTCCCCAGCAGCCAGCAGCATCCGGAGGCTAGCTGGGGTCCTGGGTCCTGGCCATCTCTAGTCCTCAGAGACACAACTGACGTGTGTGTTGGTCCATCCTCAGGCTCACAGCCCTGAAATCTCTCTCCTCTGAGACAGAAAAGGAAGTTCATGTCAGAATCGGAGCACAGAGAGATCATGAATAAGCTGATGTCAGTGGCCCACTCACTGCCAACCTTGCTCAGCTCTGAGCATGATTATACCCAATCAAAGCCTGGAAAATCAATGAATCTGCAGCCCAGGATACTGGGTACTACATCCACAGCCCAAAGAGCCTCTCCGGGGAAGGTTGCTGAGATACTAAGGGAAGGATACTTTGGAAAGATGGAGAAGTAAAAATATTTCCTACATCCTTTGTTTTGGAGAGACTATACCTGTATCTGGGATGCACAGGTGAGTTCAAACACCAAGGCGTTTGTGGATGGTGCCCAGGCTATACTCGAAGCAGAGCCGTCTCCTTCCCTGAGTGCCCTGCTCCTGAATGACCAACTGCAGGAGGTGGTGTCAGGCCCTGGGCTGTGCGAGGAAGGGAAGGTAAGACGCAGTGAGCCAGGGAAGGACACAGGACAGGGCTCATTGAAGCCCTACCCTACAGTGATACAAAACTGCTGCACAAGCTGGTCCCCAGAGAGCAACAGAGGAAGACTTAGGAGGCAGAGAGACTGGGAACGCCAGTGGGGATGGGAGGGAAGTCTCCAGCCTGAAAAAGAAAATGGCCAATGGAAGAAACTAGGAAATAAAACATGGTTGCGAGTAGGGTATTCCCTACTTCTTCGTATGAGTCTGGGTTCTAGGAGGTGAATATGCATACAGTCACATGCTGTGTGACACTTCAGTCAACTACAGACGGTGATCCCATTAAATTATAATGGAGCTGAAAGAATCTTATCGCCTGGCAACAACCTAGTGCAATGTATTATTTAGGTGTTTGTGGTGATGCTGGTGTAAACAAACCTGCACTGCCAGTTGTATAAAATCTAGCACATAGAATTATGTACAGTGCATAGTACTTGACAATGATAACAAATGACTGTTAGCAGTTTATGTATTTACTATACTATACTTTCATGATTATTTTACAATGCACTCCTTCTACTTATTAAAAAGAAAAAGTTAATGTAACACATCCTCAGGCAGGTTCTTCAGGAGGGATTCCAGAACAAGGCACTCTCATCACAGGAGATGACAGCTCCATGTGCATGACGGCCCCAGAAGACCATCTGGTAGGACAAGATGTGGAGGTGGAACGCAGTGATATTGATAATCCTGACCCTGGGTAGGTGTGGGCTAATGTGTGTGTCTTCATTTTAATTTTTTTCTAATTTAAAATGTAAAAAAAGAAAAAAAGCTTATAGGATAAGGATATAAAGAAAGAAAATATTTTTGTACAGTTATACAACGTGTGTCTTAAGCTAAGTATTAATATAAAAAAGTCAAAAAGTTAAAAAAATAAAGTTGATAACATAAAGAAGCTAAGGTTCATTTATTATTGAAGGAAGAAAAAAATTTAAAATACATTTAGTGTAGCCTAAGTTTATAGTGTTTATAAAATCTGTAATAGTGTACAATGATGTCCTGGGACTTCACATTCACTCACCACTCACTCACTAGCTCATCCAGAGCAATTTCCAGACCTGCAAGCTTCATTCATGGTAGATGCCCCACAGAGGTGCACTACTTTTTGTCTTCTATGCTGTATTTTCACTCTACCCTTCCTATGTTTAGCTATGTTTGGATATACAAATATTACCATGTTACAGTTGCCTGCAGTATTCAGTACAGTCACATGCTGCACAGATTGGTAGCCTAGGAGCAACAGGCTATGCCATAGAGCCCAGGTATGTAATGGGCTGTACCATTTAGGTTTGTGTAAGTACACTCTATGATGTTCACACAATGACAAAATCCCCTAATGATGTGTTTCTGAGAACGCATCACTGTCATTGAGCATCGTTGTGTATTAATCCATTTTCAAGCTGCTGATAGAGACATACCCAAGACTGGGCAATTTACAAAAAAAAAAAAAAAGATTTAATGGACTTACAGTTCCAGGTGGCTGGGGAGGCCTCACAATCACGGCGGGAGGCAAGGAGGAGCAAGTCGCGTCTTACATGGTTAGCAGCAGGCAAAGAGAGAGCTTGTGCAAGGGAACTCCCCCTTATAATACCATCACATCTCATGAGGTTTATTCACTATCATGAGAACAGCACAGTAAAGATCTGCCCCCATGATTCCATTGCCCTCCACTGGGTCCCTCCCACAACACATGGGAATTCAAGATGAGATTTGGGTGGGGACACAGCCAAACTATACCACCATGACTGTAGTCTCTTGTGTGGGCTCCTTTCACTCATCATAATGTTTCTGGGCTCCATTCTCCTTGTCATGTGTATCTGTAATCTCTCCTGCTTTAATGTTGGGTAGTGTTCCATTCTGCAGCAATATCACAATTTGCTTATCCATTCTACTGTCTGGGGTTTTTCCCCAGTTTGAGGCTACTAAAATTGTTATAAATATTTGTTTATAAGTCCTTGTGAACACAGGTGTTTTTATTCCTCTTGAATAAATAAATACCTAGGAGAGGAATTTCTGTTTTTTTTTTATTTTTATGGGTACATAGTAGGTGTATATATTTATGGAGTACATGAGGTGTTTTGATACAGGCATGCAATGCGTAATAATCACATCAGGGTAAACAAGGTATCCATCACCTCAAGCATTTATCATTTCTTTGTGATACAAAAATTCCAATTATACACGCTTACTTATTTTTAAATATACTAAAAATTATTGTTGACTGGCCAACCTGTTGTGCTATCAAATACTGCATCTTATTCATTGTATTTAACTCTACTTTTGTACCCATTAACCATCTCCATTTCCCACCCTCCACACCCACAACCTTTTCCCAGCTCTGGTGACCATCATTCCACTCTCTATCTCCATGAGTTCAATATTTTTAATTTTTAGCTCCCACAAATGAGTAAGAACATGCAAAATTTGTGTTTCTGTGCCTTTTTTATTTCATTTAACATTATGTCCTCTAATTCCATCCATGTTGTTGTAAATGACAGGATCTTATTCTTTTTTATGGCTGAATCGTACTCCATCGTATATATGTACCACAGTTTCTTTATCCATTTGTCTATTGTTGAACAATTAGAGTGATTTCAAATCTTGGCTATTGTGAATAGTGTTGCAATAAACATGGAAGTGCAGCTGTCTCTTTGATATACTAATTTCCTTTCTTTTGGGTATTTACCTACCAGTAGGATTGCTGGATCATAGGGTAGTTCTATTTTCAGTTGTTTGGGGAACCTCCATACTGTTCATCCTAGTGGCTGTATTAATTTACATTCCCACCAACAGTGTATAAGGGTTCACTTTTCTCCACATCCTCACCAACATTTGTTATTGCCTTTCTTGGATAAAAGCCACTTTAACCGGGTTGACATGAGATCCCATTGTAGTTTTGATTTGCATATCTCTGACAATCAATGATGTTGAGCACCTTTTCATATGCCTATGTGTCATTTGTATGACCTCTTTTGAGAAGCGTCTATTCAGATATTTTACCCATTTTTAATTATATTATTAGATTTCTTCCTATTTAGTTGTTTGAGCTTTGCATAGATTCTGGTTATTGATCAGATGGGTAGTTTGCAAATATTTTCTCCCATTCTGTAGGCTGTCTCTTCACTTTGTCATTTCCTTTGCTGTGCAGCTTTTTAACTTGATGTGGAAATTTCTGGTTTGTATAGTAAGTATATATTTAAATTCATAAGAAACTTCCAAACTGTTTTTCGAAGTGACAGCATTAATCCTGAATTTCCACTAACATTGTACAAGAGTTCTAGTTGCTCCCGATTCTTACAAAAATTCAGAATTGTTGATCTTTAAGTTCAGGCATCCTCATGGTGTGAGGGGTCGTCACATTTCCCTGATGTGTAATGCTGCAGTGCATCTTTTTATGTGTTTATTGGTTGTTTCGGGAAGTGTTTGCTCAAAATTTTCTGCCCATTTTGATAAAGTTGTTTTGTCTTCTTCTTACTGATCTTCCAGGGTTCTTTTTAATTTTTGCATACCATTACTTTGCCAAATACCTGTGTATATTTTCTCCTGGTCTGCAACTTGCCCTTTCATTTTCTTCATGGTGTCTTTTGTAGACCAAAAACTTTTAATTTCAATAAGGCCCATTTATCAATTTTTTTCCTCGAAAATTTTATGTGCCCTGAGAAATCTTTGCCTGCCCAAGTTGTGAAGATTTTCTCTTATGTTTTTCTCTAGAAGCTTTACAAATTTAGCTTTTATTTTTGTCTGTGATACATTTCAAGTTATGGTATAGGTAAGGGTTGAAGTTCACTTTTTTCATGTATAGATCTTCACTTGTTTTAGCACCATTTATTCAAAGACTATCTTTTTCCCCATCAAATTACTTTGGTAACTTTGTTAGGAATCAACATATTATGTATGTCCAGAAACAGGACATCTGATTCTGTTCCACTGACGAATTGTCTAAACTGAAACCTATACCACATGTCTTCATTACTCGCTTTCCTGTAATCTTGAAATAAAGTAGATAAGTCCTCAACATTCATTCTTTGTAAAAATTGCTTTGATTATTCTAGATTATTTGTACTTCCATGTAGATTTTGGAATCGCTTTGTCAATTTCAACCAAAAATCAGGAGAGCTGACTTCTTAACAATATTGGCAATTCACTTTGTCTCCACAATGTTTCATAGTTTTTTACACAGAGATTTTGCTCATCTTGTAAGTATTTTCAAATGGTACTATAGACAGTATTATTTATATAATTTAATCTTCCAAATTGCCACAATTTAGGAAAACAACTGATCTTTTGTTTACTGACCATTGTATCTTATGACCTTGCTAAATTCGCTTATTTTAGTAACTTTTTGTAAATTCCTTAGGATTTTAAAGTACATTATTATTTCTTCTATGAATGGATTCAGTTTTACCTCCTCCTTTCGAATCTTATGTCGGTATTTCCTCTTACCTTATTGCACCACCTAGGACTTTTGGTACAATGTTGAATGATCATGGCAAAAGTGGACATTCCTGCCTCACTCCCAACCTGAGGAGGAAAACATTATGTCTTTCACTATCAAATTTGATAATACCTGTAGGTTTTTCATGACAGCATTTTTTCAGGTTGATGAATTTCCCTTCTACGCCAGTGTTTTAAGAGGATTTTATTTTTTTAAAAAAAAGTACATCGTGAATGAGTATTGCATATTGTCAAATGCTTTTATAACATCTATCTAGATCATCACCTGGGTTTTCTGCTTTAAACTGCTAGAATTGCATTCATTGATTGGTCAATTGCACTGATTAACTTTGCATTTCTAGGATAAGCACTCTTGGTCATAGTGTATTACCCTCTACATATATTCCTAGATTCAACATACTGAAATATTTTAAGGATGTTTGCATGTATATTCCTTTTTTTTTTTTTTTTTTTTTTTTTGGAGACAGAGTCTTGCTCTGTCTCCCAGCCTGGAGTGCAGTGGTACGATCTCAGCTCACTGCAACCTCCACCTCCCAGGTTCAAGTGATTCTCCTGCCTCAGCTTCCTGAGTAGCGGGGATTACATGCGTACACCACCACACCCAGCTAATTTTTTGTATTTTTAGTAGAGATGGGGTTTCACCATGTTGCCCAGGCTGGTCTTGAACTCCTGGCCTCAAGTGATCCACCCAGCTCAGCCTCTCAAAGTGCTGGGATTACAGGCGTGAGCATGGTGCCCAGCTGCATGTATATTCCTTGTGGACATTGGCCTATAAGATTTTTTTCTTGTAGTATCTTTTCTCTGAGTTTGATATCAGGATTATGCTGATCCCATAAATTAAGTTAGAAAGTCTTTCCTCCTCCTTTACTTTCTGCAAGTTTGTATAAAAGTGATACTACTACTTCCTTAAATATTTGATTGAATTCACTAGAGAAGTCACTGGAGCCCGGAATTTTCCTTGTGTGAAGGTTTTTAATTACAAAGTTAATTTCTTTAACGGTTATAAAGCTATTCAGATTATCTATTTTTTCTTCACTGGGCTTTAGTAATTTTTCTTTTGAAAAATTTTCCCATTTCCTCTGGGTTGTCAAATTTGTTGCCGTAAAGCTTCTATAATATCCCCATATTATTTCTTTAATCTCTACATAGTCTGTAATTTTTATTCCCTCTTTTATTAGTGATGTTGGTAGTTTGTTTTATGACTTTTTATTAGGAGTTTATCAATTTTATTGATCTTTTCAAAGAACTTTTTATCTTATTGACTTTCTTTATTATTCCTTTTTCTATTACATTGTTTTCTGCTATTAACTTGATTTCCTTTCTTCTACTTACATTAGGTTTAATTGGCTCCTCTTTTTCCAACTTCTAAAAGTAAAGCTTAAATCATTGACCTTGGACTTTTTATATTTTCTAATAAAAATCATTTAAAGTTATAAATTTGTCTCTAATCATTACAAAAATTTTGATAGTCTGTGTTCTAATTCTTATTTAGGAAAAATTATTTTAAAATATCTTTTGTGATTTTCTCTTTGATCCATGTATTATTTAAAAGCATGTTGCTCAGTTTCCAAATACTTGGGGATTTTCTAGATATCCTTCTGCTATTAACTTCTATTTTAGTTCCACTGAATTTAGATAACATGTTCTATATTATTTTGGTCCTCTTAAATGTATAAAGTTGTTTTCTGCCCCAGATATGGTCCATTATAATGAAAGTTTTGTGTTCAGTTGGAAACAATGTGGATTCTATGAATATGGTGAATTGCGTTGATTGATTTATTGCGCTGTTGATTAAACTGACTTTGCATTCCTAGGATATAGAACACTACACCTAAAAATCTGTATTTAGGTAGAAGGTTCTATAGGCATCAATTAAATCAAGTTGGTTAGTAGTATTGTTCAAGTGTCCTTCCCCTTTATTCATTTTTTCTACTTGTTCTATAAGTTACTGAGAAACAAGTATGACAATTTGTAAATATAAGTGTAGATTTCTCTACTTCCCCCTTCATTTCTGTCCATTTCTTTGTCATATTTTGAAGTTCTATTATTAGGTGAATATATGTTTACAATTTTTCTCTTTCTGATAAATTTATCATTATGAAATGTTCTCGTTTATTTCTTGTTCTGCATATTTCTTGTTCTGAAGTTTACTTTTTCTGATATTTAACTAGCCCCTCCAACTTTGTTATAATTGGTGCTACATGGTATATTTTTTTCCATCCTCTTACTTTTGACCTACCTGTGCCTTTAAATTATTGAGGTCTTCAGACAACATAGAGTTGAGTCTTGCCTTATTATACAGTCTAAAAATATTTGTCTTTTTATTGGAATTTTTAGACCATTTTCATTTTATATAATTATCAGTATAGTTGGGTATAAATCTACCATTTGTCATTTGTTCTCTGTTTATTTCATCTGTTCTTCATCCTTTATTTCTCTTTTCTTGATTTCTTTTAGAGGAATTAAAAATGTTTATGGTTCTATTTTATCTCCACTGTGAGTTCATTAGCTATAACTCTGGCTTCATGTTTAGTGGTTGCATGAGGGTATACAATATGTATCATTAGCTCATTACAAATATACTATTATAACACTTTATGTACAATGTAAGACCTTACAACCATATACTTCTGTTTCCTCCATTCTGTCCATCATGCTATCATTACATATTTTGCTTTAATATGTTATAAGCCACACAGTACGTTGTTATTATTTTTGTTTAAACAATCAATTATCTTTTAAGGAAATTTAAAAATGAGAAAAGCCTTTGTATTTACCCACATACTTACCATTAAGTGTTTTTCATCCTTTGTCCACTTAGTATCACTTCACATTAGAAACACCTGGTGAGTCTTATTATATTTGTTAGTGTGAGGAAAATAATTGAAAGTATACACAGTTACCCAGCTCCTTGTCTCTTATAAGGGGTTGATTAGGAGTATCCAGTGGTGATATCTTTATTGCTAGATCATGCCATGGACTATTAGTGCTCTCTTTACAATTGGAAATAAAGTTATTAGCAACTTAAAGTGTAATCAGATTAGAGACCCAATTTTGGAATAGATAGATATGATTATACTTAAATATAATATATAACTATATATAATTTTGTACATATGCATAACGTGTGTGTGTGTGTGTGTGTGTGTAAGGAATTGGCTCCTATGATTATTGAGGCTGACAAGTCCCAAAATCTGCAGTTAGTAAGCTGGAAACAGCAGAGCCAATGGTGTACTTCCAGTTCAAAGGCTGGCAGGCTCAAGACTCATAAAAAGCTGATACTTCAGTTCAAAAATGGCAGGAAAAAAAAAACCACCTCCCAGCTCAAAGCAGTCAGGCAGGATGAAATTCTCTCTTACTTGCAGGAGAGTCAGTCTGTCTGTTCTATTCAGATCTTCAATAGATTTGATGAAGCCCACCCACATTTCTTAGCCACTGGCATTTAGCAATTGGATTATGTTTTACCTTGCATAGTTTTCTTTGTGCTTATCTTGCTTTTGATCTATTGAGCATCATGGATGGGTGGTTTTGTATGTTTCATCAAATTTGGAGCATTTTTTACCATTATTTCTTCAAATATTTTTTCTCTTCCCTCTTTCCTTTCCTTCTCAGCTTCCAATTACAAGTATGTGATCCATATACTTGCATGAATATTTTCCCACAGGTTACTAAAGATTCATTTAAATTTTCTTTTTAGTCTCTTTTGACTGAATTTTAGTTTTGAAAGTTTCTATTGCAACTTTCAAGTTCACTGATCTTTTCTTCTTCACGTCTAATCTGTTCATTTCATAAAGAAATTTTTTTATTTAAGATTTTTATTTTTGGCCCTTGTATTTCCTTTTTAATTTTTCTCCTTCTTTGATGATTACTTTCATGTTTCCTTTAAATTCGTGTGTATATCTGTAATTGGTGTTTTCAATCCTTTGTGTGCTATTTCCAACATCCATCATTCCTGAGTGTGTTTCTATTGACTGGTTTTTCTCTTGGTAGGAGTTGCACTTCTGTGCATCTTTACATGTCTGTATTTCTTATATGACACCAAACATTGTTAATTATACCTTACTTAATGCTAGATTTTGTTGTCCTCCTCTAAAGATTGGTAGATATTTTTCTGGCAGCCAGCTGAGTTACTTAGAAATTACCCTGACCCTTTTGAGGTTTGTTTTGAAGCTTTGACTGAAGGAAAGGGGTTAGATTAGACTTTATTTAGGGCTTCTTTACTCCTCCTGCCAAGACATGACTTTTCTGGGATCTCAACTGAACGCACCAGATTTTCTACAAGGACGCTCCACTCTGGCTGGTAGGAATGCAGGGGTCCCCCCCATGTCCCACATGAGCTCTGAAAGTGCCTGCTCACTGCTTTCCAATCACCCTTTGCCCAGCCTCCTGGAGTTTCATGATAGACATCCACAACCTAATTTTTATAACAGATCCATGGGGAACCCTGTTGTACTAATCTGTTCTCACACTGCTATAAAGAATGACCTGAGACTGGGTAATTTATGAGTTAAAGAGGTTTAGTTGACTCACAGTTCCACAGGCTGTACAGGAAGCATGGTTGGGGAAGCCTCAGAAAACTTAAAATCATGGAAGAAGGGGAAGAGAAAGCAAACACATCCTTCACATGGCGGAGCAGGAGGGGAAGTGGTAATCTCATGAGAACTCACTCACTATCACAAGAACAGCAAGGGGGAAATCTGCCCCCATGATCTAATCATCTCCCCCCAGGCCTCTCCTCCAACACTAAAGACCACAATTCAACAGGAGATTTGGGTAGGGACATAGAGCCAAGCCATATCAACTGTACAGATTTCTGGATATTTTTCTGTACATTACTCCCTCCTCTCAAAACTGCTGCATTGGGGATTAAGTTTCCAACACATAAACTTTGTGGGACACATGCAACCATAGCAATTCCCTTCCAGGGAGGTTCTGCAAAGAGGCCTGCCACTGATTCCTCATTGCATGGAGATGAGATCTCCCTTATTCTGCAAGGCCATGTGGTTTTTCCATCTCTTTCTAATCTGAGTGTTCAGGTAAAAGTCCATACCTGCTAACAGGGGCAAGCAGGTGCTAAAAACTAGTGAAAAAACTAGTGAAGAGGGCCCAACTAACTGAAGAGTAGCATGCCCACCCAAAGGGTCAGCTGTGACCAAGATCCCACAAAGGTAGCCATGCACAAATGCAGGCCAGGGCTGCTTGACTTCAGATTCTTCAAAAGAAGCTGCAAGTCACAATTTTTACATGAAATGTCCTGTGTGTTAAAAGTTAGCAACTGTGGGCCAGGCTCGGTGGCTCATGCCCGTTATCCCAGCACTTTGGGAAGCCGAGGAGGGTGGATCACAAGGTCAGGAGTTCAAGACCAACCTGGCCAATATGGTGAAACCCTGTCTCTACTAAAAATACAAAAATTAGCTGGGCTTGGTGGCACATGCCTGTAATCTCAGCTACTCGGAAGGCTGAGGCAGGAGAATTGCCTGAACCCGGGAGGCGGAGGTTGCAGTGAGCTGAAGTCATGCCACTGCACTCCAGCCTAGGTGAAAAAGGGAGACTCTGTCTCAAAAAATAAAAAAAAAGTTAGCAACTGTGGAGGACAAACAAAATGCTGACCCTGTCTTCAGACTTCTCCTTGGATGGAAGGGTGGCAGACCCAAAGCCTTTGGCTTAAGAAATCTCCCCAGGGCCAGGTCCTAACAAAACGTGGCTTCTCCCATGATGTCCCCCATGTGTCAATGCTAAACCGACCCTCTGGCTCTGACAATTCAAAGTCAACTCAACAAATGCTTACTAAGCATTTGCTGCCTGACAGGCTCTGGCCTTGATGTTGGGAATAAGACTGGACCGGTCACTCATATCTCTGCCCTCAGAGATGTGACCTCAGAGATTAAACCTCTAGTGTTTACTAGAGGTTAAACACTAGTGAGGAGGCAGATATTAGCCCAACCATCGCAAGAATACATGACTACAAACTGAGATAAATATTAGGAAGAAAAATTGGAGGAAACTAAGAGAGTTTATTACAGCAGATTTTACTGGCTATGATATTTGAACTGAATGTTGAAGGATGGATAGCATTCAAATAATTAAAGAGATTGGATGAGATTGAGAGTAAAGCTTTCCATAAAGTGAGCACAGTACGTGCAAAGGCCCTGAGGCAGAGCAGAGTGTAGGCATTCTACAAACTCAAAGGCCAGTGTGGCTGGAGTGCAGGGAGAAAGAGAGAAAGTGCACACAGGTCTTCTAACACCTAAAAAAAATGTGTTAGCCACCTCGTTTTCCCCAGTGTAGCCAGAAATGCATTGGTAAGGAAAGACCCAGGTTAAAGCAAGCCCGAGTGTGTGACCACCCTCTGCATGGTGGCTCCTGTCCTGCTACCCATTCCAGGAGGACACAGCAAAACCAGGGGCCACATCTTTGATTCTGTAACTTGCATCACAGGTCCTCCAAATACAGCTCCTTCCCCATCAGTCCCTGGATACTTCTAAGTTCATTTCCTGATCAATTTCCCTCTGGCCTATACATCTTAACCATTGAGGATGTTGTCTTGCTCTCGGCCTGGTCCGTCTGTGTTTGCCACTTACTGTGTGTCCCCTCAGGGCCCAGACCAGAGCCACAGACATGGGCTGGACCCCTCCCTAGTGGGTGAAGAGCCCTGGTGTCATCATCCAGGAAGAGGCTGATCCTCCCAAGGAAATGGGACCAGAGGGAGGGGAACTCAGGCTGTCCCTCTCTGGAGCTGACGTAGGCCCATCTTCACCCTGGTTTTGACTTGAGTTTAGATTTGTCTGAGGCCAGGAAGGTTAGTGAGGCAGCAGCGGGTGGGCAAAGAGACCCTTACCCAGTGAAGACAACTGGGGTGAGGCCGCCTCAGGGTAAGGCCCTCTGAAGAGGAGAGGGGTTTTCCCGTGAGCCCATAACATCGAGTCACCTGCTGCCTCCTGATTCAGTCAACATTGCTGAGTGTCTGCAGCTGAGCCCACTCTCTGTGCTGGCACTGGAATCCTAGGTGACAAAATGCCCAGGCCCTGTTCTGAGGAAGCAGATGCCCCTGAGGAAGTGGACAACAGTCCAGCAACCCCATGTGGCAGTGGAAGCACAAGTGAGGGCATGGCTATGCCCAGGAATTCTCTGAACCACAAGAGGGTCGAACTCAGGGCCTGAGCCAGTCTTGGGGGTCAGCAAGAGCATCCCAGAGGGAGTGACATAGAAGCTCTCCACTCCAGGCTAGCTGGGAGTTGTAGGCCAGGTGGAGTACATTCCAGGCAGAGGAAACTGCAGATACAAAATCCTGGGAGCAGGAGAGAGTGCAGAGAGTTTAAGGAAGAAAGAAGTCACATGAAGCGAGATGGGGCTGCAGGAGAAGGAACCTGTACAAGGACAGACTGAGGAGGGTTGAGGGGTGGGGGTGGGTGGGGCCCAGGCTGTCAGGAGATGTATTAGCTCATTCTCACACTGCTAATAAAGACATATCCAAGACTGGGTAAAAGAAAAAGGTTTAATCGACTCACAGTTCCACATGGCTGGAGAGGCCTCTCAATCATGGTGGAAGGTGAATGAGGAGCAAAGTCACATCCTACATGGTGGCAGGCAAAAGAGAGCATGTGCAGGGGAACTTCTCTTTATAAAATCATCAGATCTCATGAGACTTATTCAGCATCACGAGAACAGTATGGGAAAGACCTGCCCCCATGATACAATTACCTCCCACCAGGCCCCTCCCACGACATGTGGGAATTATGGGAGCTATCATTCAAGATGACATTTGGATGGAGACACAGCCAAACCATATCAGGAGATTAGATGGGCCCTTTCAGCACAGTCTGTCCTAGACAAAGAGACTTAAGGAAGACTCAGGGCCCCCCTTGGGTGTGGACATTCACTTGGGAGCAGAGTCCGGAAGCCAGCATGATGCGGGGGGAGGATGCTCTAGATTGACGGTGTTTACCCAAAGTGCATGTGCTGAAATCCTAAACCTCAAGGTGATGCTATTAGGAGGCTGGGTTGTGCAGGGGTGATTAGGTCCCTTATAAAAGACCCTGGAGAGATCCCTCACCCCTTCTGCCATAGGAGGACACAGCAAGAAGGCGCCATCTATGAAAGAGTAAGAGGCCCTCACCAGAAACCAAATCTGTTTCAGCTACTTGATCCTGGACTTCCCAGCCTCCAGAACTGTAAGAAATAAACTTATGTTGTCCACGTGCCACGTGGTGTATGGCATTCTGCAATAGCGGCCCGAGCCAACTAAGAAAGTGGGGAGCCATGGTGAGTGAGTGCCCAGGAGCCAGGAGTGTCTGCCCCAGGGGCTGCAGGTTCAGGCACTGCTCCACGGGGAGGCCTCCACTCCTTGCCAGTTTTGGCAGATCCAGGCTTGGGGCTACAGAGCAGCCTGCCAGACTGCCCCGGACCAGGCAGGAGCACACCTGCCACATGAGAACTGAGCAAGGATGATGCAGTTGCAGCCCACATCCAAAGCCCTCCTTCCAACACACCAAGCTGCACCCCACAGCCATTTTGTGGTTCAAGGTACAACTCACATTTTCAGGAACAGAGGGCAAGGCCTGGGGATCTACTGCCTTACTATAGAGAGAAATCTGCTTCCAATGCCCCACCTGTAGCCCAAAGCCCTCCTACCAGGACACCCCAAAAGTTGTGTCATAGCTGTGCTGCAGGCCTCAGTGACTCGGCTCAGGATGAACACAGGAGGGCTGGAACAGACCATCCCTGCTCCTCCCTCCTTCCCCCACTCCCCGCCCCATGAGTAGCCCTGGCCTTCTGCCAAGGGTCTGGCAGGGCCCAGGAAGGGAGGGTGCCCTTCTTTTGTTCTGCTAAAGTCCTGGGGTTTCTCCCCCATGGTGTCTGACTGCCCAACCTCCACGCGAGCATTTGGAGGCAGGGGGCACTTTGACCCACTTTGCTCATCCCAGCCTCCTACAAATGGCCTCCTGGTCATCAAGTGTGGAGGAAATCACACTTGGAGCCCAACTGGGAGCCCCAAATTCGGCTCCAGCTTGCTCTTGACATGGGGCAGGGAAAAGCAAGGTGGTATGAGGTGCCCAGGCAGGGAGACGGGGAGCCTCAGGTCTTTCTCTCGGCCGGCCTCCAAGGACCGTCAGACTTCTGAGTCTGGTTTCTCATCTCTAACTTGAGATGCCTGAACTATACAGACCCCTATCCTAACACTCTGAATGAAACAATGTGTGATCCCAAGTCCAAAACCTTCAAGGTTGGGATCCTTAAATGACACTGAGCAAACCCACTGAGGAGTTTTTCCAGGTGCTGGGGTTACCCCGAGGGTTCGCCTGGCATCTCCCTCTACCAGGACGTGCAGAATGACTGGATGTTTGAGTGGGAAGGGCATGAGAGTGCATGTCATAGGGAAGGAAGCTGTGGCCCAGGGTCCCCAGGCTGCCTGGCTCCCCACTAAAGGCTCCCTCTGCCTTAGCAATTGGCCTCCTGCCGCCTGTAGGCTTAGCACCATCTCAGCGACAGCGATAACACCTGGAGTGAACAGGCCTCCTGCAAACTTTATGTTGCCCTGGAGATAACAGACCGTTCAGACAGACTCAAACACTTCCAGCCAAGGCAGAGGAGTAGGTCCCCAGCAACAGCAGGACTCATTTGCTTTTAGAGATAATGTTGCTGAGGCTGATTGAACTGTGCTCCAGTCTCTTGTCCAAACACGTGTATTTCTCATCTCTTAACCATGACTGCATGTTTGGAGATAACACCTACTCAGGAGCCTTGGCAACTAGATCAGCCAGCAATCTGTGGGAGAAAAGTGGACTGCCACTAAGTGTCACCAGACAGAATGCCATCCCTTCAGAACACAGCTGTCTGCTCCAAACCCTGTACCTCTCACACCAGCTGGTGGGGGAGCAGGTGAAGCAGCACAGCATTGCAGGAAAGCAATTTTGCAAAAGGTGTCAGAGGCTTAGAAGCTTGCATCTCCTGCTTCCCCTTCATTTTGTTTTGGGTAGCTCTCTTACAGGAATGACTCAAACCAGCCTCCACTGACAGAACACCAAGAACTCAGGGGACCCTACAAAGCTTCCTGGACAGGCTTTTCACCTATTCATAAGGAATTTTAAATTTAAGGAATATAAAAAGTACAAACAAAAATGTTACTACAATCCCATGATCACTGGGGTATTTCCCTCCAGGGGTGTTGCTTCTGTGAATGTATAAGTGCATTTCCAAATAATGAGGTGCTTACTCTGCGGCTTAGCAACTGATTTTAAAATATTTAATAGATAGCAAGCTTTTCTCAGTGCTGTTAAAAAGTAGCCTGTCTTGTCAAGCCTTCTCTGATTGCTGGACATTCTATTGTTTCTTATCTTTCACTACATGATACAGCACACAGAAAGGCATTTTGTACAGAAATCTTACAATCAAATATAGACTCCCCTGTCAGCTCTGAGCTTCTCCACATGCCTTTTCCTTCTGAGTAGTGCTGCTTCCAGTTGCCATGGGCCTGGCCCATAGTAGGTGGTGTTGGATAATGCTTCCCAAATTACCCTGCTTCACTGATGACAAACATAGTGGCTTCCCTCTCATTGTGAAGTGAGTAAATGCATGTATCTGGCACAGCATAAGAACTGAAGAAAATGCCAGCTGTTTTTTTTTTCTTTTTTTGAGACAGAGTCTCTGTCCCCCAGGCTGGAGTGCCGTGAAGCAATCTTGGCTGACTGCAGAGGGTTCAAGCAATCCTGGTGCCTCAGCCTCCCGAGTGCTGGGACTCGAGGCACATGCCACCACGCCTGGCTAATTTTTGTATTTTTAGCAGAGGCGGGGTTTCACCATGTTGGCCAGGCTGATCTCAAACTCCTGACCTCAAGTGATCCATCTACCTTGGCCTCCCAAAATGCTGGGATTACAGACGTGAGCCACCACACCCAGCTGAAAATGCCAGCTTTAATAAAGATGAAGCTAAGGATAAGGACCATCCCCACGCTCAGAGCAGAGCAGGGAAGACAAAGAAAAACAGGTGGTTCTAGGTACTGGTCCTCTCGGAGGAGGGTACAGCAGCCTGCTTCTTACCTGAACTGTGTTTCTTAAATATTTCTAAAAATACTGCCAGGTGTCTGCTTACCCCTGTCTGCAGAAGGAAGTTTGCATATTTGCACAGGAATATAAGCATTTGTTAATTGGTTTCTGTGTTGATATATACAAATGTTATAGATCCCTGGGTCAATAGTTCTGCCTGGGGAAAGGTGGAGGAAGTACAATCAGGTGATAAAGTACTGTGCCCAAGACGCAGAACTTGCTTCCACCGGTGCCCAGAGAATTGGCAGGGGACCATGGTCTGCCTGACTGCCCCTTTCCTTCTCACTCTCCCTCCCTTCCTCCCTCCCTCTTTCTCTCTCTCTCCCTCTCTTTCTCTCTTTTTATTGAGCTTAATTTGCAATATACTGTCCTGCTTTCTTTTCTTTTCTTTTTTTTTTTTGAGATGGAATCTCACTCTGTCGCCTAAGCTGGAGTGCAGTGGCATGATCTCGGCTCACTGCAACCTCCTCCCTCCAAATTCAAGCATTTCTCTGCCTCAGCTTCCCGAGTAGCTGGGATTACAGACGCCCACCACCACGCCTGGCTAATTTTTTGTATTTGTAGTAGAGACGGTGTTTCACCATGTTGGCCAGGCAGGTCTTGAACTCCTGACCTCATGATCCACCCTCCTCGGCCTCCCAAAGTGCTGGGATTACAGGTGTGAGCCACCATGCCCGGCCTGTCCTGCTTTCTTAAATAGAGGCAGACAAGCCCCATTCCCCTAGGCCCTAAAGTCTAGTTTCCATGCTTTGTATGGAGAGCTATTTTTTTCATGCTGTTGCTGGAGCCCTCTGGAGTCTTGATTGGCTGCATCGTGGGGAAGGTGGGCTCGCTGGCCTAGCACCTCCCTGGTCCCCTGTTGGAGGCTAGCTCACCTTCAAGCTCCAATATCTGTTCTTCATGGTGGAAACCAATTTACTGTCCTCTCAGGGGGCATTATTCTGGGCCAGGCACTGTGCCAGCTGCCCAGGAGATAACAACCTACACCCTTTGTTTGCCGGGGTTACAGCCAGGTGAAAAGATGGAGACTCTCTTGCATCCTTCCAGCTCTAAGATTCCCTAAGTGCCCAACAGGAACAAGGCAAAGTGCAAAATCCAGGGATGCAGACACGAAACAAGGGAGCCAGGAAAAGTTTTCAGAGAAGGTAAACTTGGAATTGGAAAGCATGAGATTCGGAAGGCATTGAGCTGGGCACAGTGTGGCATATGTGAGGACCCAAAAATAAGGAGTCTGTGGATTCAAGCATGGGGTGGGAGTGAGGGGGTGCTGGAACAAGCAGGAGAGGAAGGCCAGCCAGGGGGAAGCTGTGAATGGCCAGGGGCCATGTGAAAGCACGGGGACCCCATCCTGCAGAGGGCAGGAACCGCTGAGTGGGAGAGTCAAGGTCAGATGTGAGACGTTGTCCAGAGAAAGGATCGCTGGACAAAAGGCCTGGTGGCAGAGATGTCATTGAGGGAGGTTCTTGACATAGTCCAAGCTAAAGGAACAAGTCTGAATCAGATGCCCCTAACTAGGCAATTCAGTGGTTCACAATAGGAATAACTGTGATGGAAAATCCAGCTGGAATCTGAGAAGGACCATATTTTGCTTTGGACTTGCACTTGAGGTATGTGTGGAACATGCCGTGGAGGCGTCCAGCCTGCAGGTAGACGGAGACTGGAGAAGGTGTGAGTCTGGGAACGGGGCACAGTTGCAATTGCTTATGGAGGGTGTTGGGGGCAGGACACAAAAGCTACAGCAGAACCAGGAAAGCCTGGCATATGAGGGACAGAGGACCTAGCTGGAGTCATGCCATGGGAGCTAAGGGAAGAGGAGATTTCAGGGAGGTGATGTCAAGAATGAAGCTGCAAAGATCAAGTATTGCAAGGACCCAAATCGCATGGCAAGACCATGCCACTTGTGCTTTTTTTTTTTTTTTTTTTTGAGACAGAGTTTTGCTCTTAGTGCCCAGGCTGGAGTGCAATGGTGTGATCTCGGCTCACTGCAACCTCCGCCTCCTGGGTTCAAGTGATTCTCCTGCCTCAGCCTCCCAAGTAGCTGGGATTACAGGTGTCCACCATCACACTCAGCTAATTTTTTATCTTTAGTAGAGATGGGCTTTTATGCAGAGCAGTTTCAGCAGTCACAGAAGTGAAAATGCCTGTCAGCTGAGAAGCAAAGAGAAAGTGAGAGTGTGGTGGCCAGGAGTGTAGAACACTCTTGTGGGGCTTGGCTCTGAGGGGAAGAAGGTCCAGAACAGGGGCTGGCAAAGTCGTGGGGAGTATTTTTCCTAATGGGGGCCTTCGCTGCAGTTTGTAGCTGCAGTGGCAGAGCCTGTAGAGGAAGAGAGGATGAAGATGACCTTGAGGATGCCATCCTGGAAGGCTGGGGAACCGTGATGTCATTACTTATGGGATAAACTCTCCCCAGAGGAGGAATCCTCACGTGCTTTGCATTTGTTCCTTCCCCCAGGCTCAGACACTTTGACACTCCCCAGTCCTGAGTGTGGGGCCAGTTCAGGCAAGGCAGGAGGGAGGAGGAGGCCCAGAGCCCCGTGGAAAATTTTCCTAGGGAGGCCCAAGCCTGACACTGGGAGACAGGTCAGCAACACAGGACACAGGGCTGCACCCAGGCCAGCACGGGGCCCAGAGTGGCAGGCTGGCAACCTGTGTCCCCCTCAACTCATCTCACATTTTTTCTCAACAGTTTGGACATTTATGGCTTTTTATCTAGTACCATATGCCCGTCGATGGGAGCAATGAGGCTGCTGGTCTGGCTTTTAATAGCACAGCTCAGATGTGGACATGGCTAATACTAACTTAGATGAGGAAATTAACTGGAAGAGCCATGGAATCAAGCTTGGCCTGTGTAGGACAGTCCTCTTAAAATGAGATTATGATTTTAACAAAAATCACGCAGCACCTGCCATGTACTGGATATTCTACTCGGTCCTGATGCTGGCTTTGCTGGCAGATCTCTACTTCATTCCATGGAGAGGTTGGAGGGCCTTAAAATTACTCTATTTCCCACAAAGATAAATCATAGACTCAAAAAATAACAGATGCTGGTAAGGTTGTAGAGAAAAAGGAATGCTTATACACTGTTGATGGGAGTGTAAATTAATTCAATCATTGTGGAAAACAGTGAGGTAATTCCCCCAAAGACCTAAAAACGGAACTACCATTCAACCCAGAAATCCCACTACTGGGTATATACGCAAAGGAATATAAATCGTTCTACCATAAAGACACATGCATGCACATGTTCATTGCATCACTATTCACAATAGCAAAGACATGGAATCAACCTAAATGCCCATCAATGGTAGATTGGATAAAGAAGATGTGGTACATATACACTATGGAATACTATGCAGCCATAAAAAAGAATGAGATCATGTCCTTTACAGGAACATGTCCTTTACAGGAACATGATCTTGTTCTTTTTTATGGCTGCATAGTATTCCATAGTGTAGGCTAGAGCTGGAGGCCATTATCCTTAGCAAATTAGCACAGGAACAGAAAACAAAATACCACATGTTCTCACTTATAAGTGGGAGCTAAATGATGAGAGCCCATGGGCAGAAAGAGGGGAACGACAGACACTGGGGCCTACTTGAGTATGGAGAGTAGGAGGAGGGAGAGGATCAGAAAAATAACTGTTGGGTACTAGGCTCAGTACCTGAGTGATTAAATAATCTGTGCAACAAATCCCCATGACACAAGTTTACCTATGTAACAAACCTGCACATGTACCCTGAAACCTAAAATAAAAGATTTTAAAAAATAAATAAAAATGTTTAAGTAAAATAAAAAATAAATTTTAAAACTTAAATTAACTTTTAAAAAAACCATGGACTCTTAGAAGAGCACAAATTCTTGAAAATATTCTGGTTCAAACCCTTCATTTGACTACTATGGAATCTGAGACTCAAAGAGAGTTAGCGACTTCCAGACCTCTCTGTGTAGGTGGCAGATCCATTGAACTATCAGAAGACAGCTGCCATCATCCGACAAGGCTTCTGTGGGGCCCAGGCACCTCTTTCGGACAAGTGTGGGGCTTGGACCAGAGCCCCCATAGCTTCTGGGTGGTGGGGGGCAGGCATGGGTAATGCATTGTAGGGGGTGATCTGGGCGGCGAGAGGAGGACTAGAAGGAGGTGGTAGGCACAGCAAACAGAGGCAACTTTCAACATCCCTCAAGGTGCCTGCCTTCCTCAGAACTCCGCCTCCCTTTAGCAAGCTGAAGAGAGTGAGAGCAGCCTCCCTTTAGCAAGCTGAAGCAAAAGGCTTTGGAAATGATCTTGGGGCCGCAAACTCCTTGAGCAAACAAGGGAAAAGTACTTAGCAGCCCATACACTTCCTGCTAGATCAGAGTTCATCAGGGAAAATCCACAGAGATAATCTCAGGAACAAGCGTTCTGACCCTTCCAGGGCAGCGCACTGGGACCTAGCCGGGCTGATGTCAGACTCCAGGAGAGCGACCCCGGACCTTGGGCTTATATGATCAAGGAAGCACAGCCCCTGGCCTGGTGGGATCAGAGCTTGATCTGATCGTAGTGGGGTATGGCAGAACTCTGGCCATCAGCCCTTCTCTTCCAGCTCAAGGGGGAGGCAGGTGGGGTTGCAGGGAGCAGCAGCCCCACTCCAGCATGATCAGGAGCTGGGGTTCCAGTCTATGACACAGCAGCATCCTACCAGTGTTGATCATCTTCAGATTCAGCCAAAACCAGCTTCCTTGGAGCTCTGCAGGAGACGAACTTTGTGAGGCCAGCCTGCCGAGAATAGGGAAACCAGGAATCGGCTGAAGTTTGGCAGTGGCTTACAAAACTAAACACACCATTGCCATACAATCCAGCAAAAGTACTCCTTGATATTTACCCAAAGGAGTTGAAAGCTTATGTTCACATAAAAACCTGCACATGGATGTTTACAGCAGTAGCTTTATTCATCATTGCCAAAACTTGGAAGCAACCAAGATGTCCTCGAGTAGGTGAGTGGATAAATAAATTTTGGCACATCCAGACAATGGAATATCACTCAGCTCTAAAAAGAAATGAGCTGTCAAGCCATGAAAAGAAATGGAGGAACTTTAAATGCTTATTATTAAGTGAAAAAAGCCAATATGAAAGACAACATACAGTATTATTCCAACTACATGGCTTTCCGGAAAAGGCAAAACTACGGGGATGGTAAAAAGATCGGTGGTTGCCAGGGTTTAACAGGAAAGGAGGTGATAAATAGGTAAGACACGGAGGATTTTTAGGGCCATGAAACTATTCTGTGTGATACTATAATGGTGGTTACGTGTCATGATGCATTTGTCCAAATCCATAGAATGTACAACACCAAGAGCAAACCCCGAACCATGGAGTCTGGCATCAACTGTAACAAACACACCACTCTAGTGGACAGTGTAGCTAACGGGGAGGCTGTGCATGTTTGGGGCCCAGGAAGGATACGGGAAGTCCTTCTTGGCCTTCCAGAAACTGGACTCCTGGCCCATCTTTTCATCTCTTTGGAGAAACAAACAACAAACAATAATCTCGTCATAATTAAAATTCACTGTGATATAAAGCTACTCTAAAAATAGTACAATTAAAATTAAAATTTATTTCATTTCTTGAGCTGACATTTCAGACAGCCCAGTGGCCTCCCACTAAACTCGAAGGTAATGAGTCTCTGCTCAGTCTCACCTCCTGGGCTTCTGTTCCAGTGTGAGTCTGAGCTCCATTCAACTCTTCCTGGGCCTTTTCAGCTCTAGGTGTAAAGGTTCAGTGTGAACTCGTAGAAAGAAGACAGGCTTTTCAGTCAACAGATCTGAATTCTTATAAGGACTGTCTCATAGTCCTTGGTCTCAGTTTCCATATTTGTACAGTGAGGATCATGGTACAGCGTTAGGGCTGGACAGAAAGCCCTCAGACTGGCTTAGGACAGATGGAGTGGTCATTTGGGTTCTTTCTACTCCATTTCACTGTGACTATAAAGCTGCTCTAAAAAATAGTGAGAGTAAAACGAAAAGATTGATGTTGATTTTCATACTTTAACCCAATATATCTAAAATATTGCTATTTCAACATATAATCAATATACAAAATTATTAATGAGACACTTCACATTCTTTGTAGGGGCTGTCTTTGAAATTCAATGTGTAATTTACACTTGGCACATCTCAATTTGTGCCAGTTCTATTTCACGTGCTCAGAAGTCACATGTGGCCCATGGCCACCACACTGGACAGCTATGGTTTCATTGTCCAACCCCACCTTGGAACCCAAATCCTTGGAACCCATGATCCTCACTGTACAAACATGGAAACTGAGACCAAGGACTATGAGACAGTGCGTGTAAGAATTCAGATCTGTTGACTGAAAAGCCTGTCTTCTTTCTACGAGTTCACACTGAACCTTTACACCTAGAGCTGAAAAGGCCCGGGAAGAGTTGAATGGAGCTCAGACTCATGCTGGAACAGAAGCCCGGGAGGTAAGACTGAGCAGAGACTCATCACCTTCAAGTTTAGTGGGAGGCCCCTGGCTGTCTGAAATGTCAGCTCAAGAAATGAAATAAATTTTAATTTTAATTGTACTATTTTTAGAGTAGCTTTATATCACAGTGAATTTTAATTATGACGAGATTATTGTTTGTTGTTTGTTTCTCCAAAGAGATGAAAAGATGGGCCAGGAGTCCAGTTTCTGGAAGGCCAAGAATCGAAGTAGTAAGCTGCAGCCGTTTTCCAGACAAGCAGGATGTGGGGATGCAGAAGAATTCAGGACTGGAGGGGCAAACTCCGTAAGCAGGGGCTGTCACGATTCCCATCTCCCTCTATAAACCTCTCTCTTTTCATGTCATACTGTTCCATGTTATATGTAACTGTTTTAAAGCTACATACTGGACAAAAAGTGGAATAGACTCCAGCCTCTGAATTGTTAAATAAGCTGATGACAAACCTTCACATTTTCTCCATCAGGATGTGACTGAGGCCCCACTGCCAAATGGCAGCATGCTCAGATAGCACCCAGGAATTTGGGGAAAAAAACTGGTGCTCACAGCTGCCCAGTTAAGGCACAAGTCTCCCGCCTGCTGCAGGTATGTGGGTGGGACAAGTGGGTCAGTCCACAGAACAAAAGGTATGTAAAGGAGGCCTTCTTTTTGGGAAATCCTTTGTAGATCCACCACCCACACCTTAGTCACAAGCCCAGAAGGGGCTGAAAATGACATTTCCAAGGGGCACAGGCTGCCAGCCATCACAAAGCACACTATCTGGTGGGGGAGATATGGCTATCGCAGAGTTTTCACCCACGAGCTGGAGTTCTTTGTTCTGAATGCATGCCCTGCTTTCAGTATGGTTTCCTTGGCAGTCAAAAAGATGCTAATCAAATGCCCCATTGATAGCTTTATGAATGAAAGGATGTGTATTTTAAGAGAGCTTTTTGCCGGCACCCAATTACACTGATAAACTTTTCGCAGTCTGACAGGAATTAGTTTCAAATAAGTGGTGACATTTAAACAACAACAAACCTCAAGGCCATGATTAAGCAGCCACACTCTCAAGCACCCTCCTGCTCCACCGATCATTGTCAAGTGCCCTTGCAGATGCCTGTTTGGCTGCCCAGGCTGGGAGTGCTGGCTACTGCCGGCTAAGCAGACATCTTGCTCTGCTCCTCGGACCCTTTCCCAATATCTCCTCTGGACCTGGGAGCCCCATTCCGGTCTGTCTGTATTTGCAGGGGTTGTGAGGTGTATCAGAACCTTGAAGAGATACTCTGGGAAGAAAGGCCTTCCCAGACTGCCTCTCCGCAGTGCTGTAAGAATCAGATTTCTTCTATGGGGGACTTCCAGGTCTCTTCAGCATTTTCTCAGTCATCACTGTATCCCTGCCACTCAGTGAACCACAGCAACAACTCCCAGCTTCCAGCCGAGAAGCTTGACCCTGAAGCTGGCCTCGATTCTCTACAGAAGTGAGGCCACAGAGCACAGGTGAAGGGCCACTTACCTGGTATCATCTCTGGTCTCAGCTCTGGAGAACTAGCTCCTCTGCCACTGCCACATCCTGTCCACCAAGACCTCCTTGCTGAACCCCACCCCCACCCGGTGCCTCAGGACCCTAACTTGTTTGCTGACCTCCATGTCCTCTCACCAGATCAAGCCCTGGGGAGCTGAACTTCCTCTGGCCCACTGCCAGCTCTGGATCAGTCCACACCCCAGCCAGCCACAGCCCAGCCCTGCCTCTCTCTGTCTCTCTCTCATGGCTGGGTTGGCCTTGGCCAATGCTCTCTCTAGAGATCAAGACACAGGCACCTCTCTTGGTCTGTTCTGGCTGCTGTGACAAAATGCCTTAAGCTGGGTGGCTTATAAACCACAGAAATTTATTTCTCACTGTTCTGGAGGCTGGGAAGTCCTACAGACTGGGGTACTGGCCTGCTTGTTTCCTCATGAGGGCTCTCTTCCTGGGTTGCAGATGGACATCTCCCTGATGTATCTTCACATGGCAGAGAGAGAGAGAGAGAGAGAGAGAGACAGAAAGACAGAGAAAGAGAGAGAGAGAGAGAGAGAGAGAGCATGCTCTTTGGTCTCTTCTGGTAAGGGCCTAATCCCGTCATGAAGAATCCCCATAACTTCAACTAAATCTAATCACTTCTCAAAGGCTCCATCTCCACATACCATCCCATTGTGGGTTAGGGTTTCAACATAGGAATTCTGGAGGCACACAAACGTGCAGTTCAAAACATGTGGAGACAAGGGGGCAAGGACTAGAGAGCCCTACCATCCTCGTTCAAACCCTTGAATCAAGCCTGAAGTCAAAGAACTTCCTTTGGAGAGCCCCATTCCATGAGCCGATAAGTTCCCCATTTTGCCATCACCCACTTGAGTTTGGGATTTTCCCCCAGTTACTGAGTGCCTGACTGACATGATGCCCCCCACAGATGGGCCTCCCTGCCCCCAATCTCACCTCCTCTGTTAGTTTCCTGGGGTTGCCACAACAAAGCGTTACAGGCAGAGCGGCTAAAATGACAGAAACTTATGGTCTCACAGTTCTGGAGGCTGCAAGTTCAAGGTCAAGGTGTCAGCAGGGTTGGTTCCTTCGGAAGGCTGTGCAGGAGCCTGTTGGGTGCCTGTCCCTCAGCTTCTAGTGGATTACTTCCATCTTCAGCATGCCTTGGCTTGTAGAAGGACTACCCTGAACTCTGCCTTCATGGTCACAACACATCCTCCCTGTGTGTGTTTCTGTGTCCAAATTTCCCCTTCTTATAAGGACACCAGTCTTATACGGACAATGCTCAATGTATGAACCTTTGCCAAGGGATTGGATTAGGGACCCACTATATTCCAGTATGACCTCATCTTAACTAATTATACCTGCAATGACACTGCTTCCAAAGAAGGCCACATGATGAGGTACCGTTGGTTAGGAATTCAATATATGAGTTTGGGGGGACACAGTTCAGCCCACACCACCTCCTCTGACCCTGAATTGGATGCTGTTTCTGCTCTGCTTATGATCCTCTTGTCCTCACTGGCCTCTTGGTCCAGCACCCACTGAGGCACCAGCTCTGAGAGAGCTCACTGGCTTCACACAGGTGCGACCTGATGGCGCCTCACCTCATACCCCAAACATCCTTCTCATCTCTGCAGGACCTGCTCTGTTTATGTCCAGGTATGTTCAGTGTTCCTGTGTGTCCCCAGAGTGTGGGGAGGTAATGCTCCATGTACGAACCTTTGCCAAGGGAATATGGAAACCGATGGATGAGTTCTTACCTCTTTTTTCGTCCAGACAAACTGTCCTAAGATGGTTTTAAGAGATACCGAGTAATCAGCTGCCAGCTCAGTAGCGCATCTTCAGATTGACTCTCCCTCCTTCCCTGTCTCCTTCCCCATATTCTTCATCTTGTTCCCTGGGATCTTTCTCCCTAATAAAGGAAAAGCTCATAGACCTCTGCCCCAGATTCTGCTTTCTGGGGAATGCAGGCCAATCCAGCCACACTACTCTCCCTCCATGTAACCTGACCATGCCATCCCCCTGCTTAAAAGCTTTCAGTGCTTCTCCATTGCCCATAAAGCTCATACTTTCTAGCTATGAGCTTCAAGGCCACTTGGAGGTCATCTGGCCAACTGTCCTTCCTGCTACAACAGTCTAAGTCATAGGCTTTGGAAGATAACTGATTGGGTTTCATCTTTGGCTCTTATTGAAAATGTGGAAAAAATTATTTCACCTCTATAAGCTTCAGTTTCTTCATCTATCTGATCTCAGGATTGAGGGAAGGCAATGTATATAAAGCATCTGGCACAGTGGTTGGGGCACTAAATACATGGCAGCCAGTGTTTATTATTACAAACCAGGAAACCAGGATGCAAAGGGAGCTGCTTCAGCTCCCTTTCAGTCAGCAGACAACGGCTGTCAAACTTGGGACCAAACAGCTACAAAACCAGATGCCCGCTCTCCACAAATAAGAGGCTGAAGTGCAGCTCTCCACTGATGAACTATAACAGTTGGAAATTCACTTGTACTATGGATATTTCTTCTGCACCTCTCGTGAACAGCCTGTTCTTGCTGAGAGCTGGACAGTAAATAAAACATCTACAGTGCCTACTTCCATGGGGTTCATGTTCTAATGAGGGAGTGGAGACCCTCAACAAAGAACCAGCCAATGTGCTAAGTCCTGTGGCAGAAACTGGGCAGAAAAGGGAAGAGAGAGGGAGGATGGTTATATTTTTACAGGATGGTTAAAAAATTAGTCTTCTGTTTTTTGAGACAGGCTTTCACTCTGTTGCCCAGGCTGGTGTGCAACGGTGTGATCATGGCTCACTGCAGCCTTGACCTTCTGTGCTTAGTCAATCCTCCCACCTCAGCCTCCCAAGTAGCTCAGAATACAGGCTTGTGCCACCATGCCCAGCTGATTTTTGTAATTTTTGTAGAGAGAGATGGGGTTTCACTATGTTGTCTAGACTGGTCTCAAATTCCTGGGCTCAAGTGATCTGCCTGCTTTGGCCTCCCGAAGTGCTGGGATTACAGGCACAAACCACCATGCCCAGCCAGGAAATTAATCTTCTAATAAAGGTTCACTTAAGGTGAAGGGAGCAAGGGAGAAAGTTGATATCAAGGGGTGGCATTCCAAGCAGCAAGAGTAGGAAGTAGAAAGGCCTGAGGCGGGAGAGGTCTTAGCCTGTTCAAAAGATAGCAGAGAAGCAAGCACTGCTGAAGAGGAGTGGGTGAGGGGAAGGGTAGTGGGAAGTGAGGCCAGAGAGGGGTGGATGATCTGCAGACACAGGTGGAGACTGTGACTGTGAAATTTGCCCTGAGTATGATGGAAAGCCACTGGAGGGTTGAACAAAGTTGTAGAGGCACCTGACTAGTTTCAGTGGATCACTCTGGCTGAATGAGGCCAGAAAGGAGGCCTCTGCCATGATCTCAGTAGGGAGGACAGTGGCTTGAACCTGAAGGCAGAGCCTGGAGGCAGTGAGAAGTGGTCATTCTGAGAACATTTTGAAGGCACAGCTTACAGAACTCACCGATAGATTGGATGAGGGTTGTGAATAGGAGGTGATCCCAAAGACTGTGGCCCAAGCAAATGAAAAGCAGGACTTGCCCTTTTCTGAAAAGGAGGACACTGAGGAAGGAGGTAGCAGGGACAAATCTGGAGTTTGCTTTTGAATGTGCCAAGCTTGAGATGCTGACTGGTGTCTAGGAAACACAAAGCATGCCTGGACACCCAAATGTGGAGGTCAGGGAGAAGTTCAGACTGGAGATACACTGGGGAACATTAGAGTATTTGTGGCATTTAGCACCAGAAAACTGGGTGAGCTCACCAGGGGAATGAGAGGACCTCCAGGGCTCCTTGGGGATGCTCCAGTGTCCCAAAATCAGGGCAACAAGAGTCCAAGAAAAGAGATGGGGAAGAAGAGCCCAATGAGGCAGGGAGAACCATGACCATTATGCCCTGAAAAAGCCACATGCAGGAGTCTCAAGGAGAAGGGAGTGACCAACTGCCCAATACAGCTGACGACCATATCAGACAAGACTGAGAACTGGCCACAGGATTTGGCAACATGGCAAGAGCTATATGAATGGACTGGTGAGCACATAAGAGGAGAGGAAGTGGAAGCTTCAGGATTAGACAGGGGGCCAGGCACAGTATCCCATGCCAATCCCAGCACTTTGGGAGGCCGAGACAGAAGGATCACTTGAGGCCAGGAGTTCAAGACCAGCCTGGGCAACAGAGAGAGACCTCATCTCTACAAAAAAGGAAAAAAAAAAGGAAAACCAGCCTGGACAACATAGGGAGACCCAGTCTCTATCAAAAAAAGAAAAAAAAAAGACTTAATTTTTTAATTAGCTGGACATGGTGGTATGCACCTGTGGTGCTAGCTATTCAAGAGGCTGAGGTGAGATGATCACTTGAGCCCAGGAGTTCGAGTTGCAGTGAGCTATGTTCATGCCACTGCATTCCAGCCTGGGTGACAGAGCAAGACCCTGTCTCTAAAAGAACAAAAAAAAAAAAAAGAGAGAGAGAGAAAGAGGCTAGACAAGTCTCTGGAGGAGTTTTGTGCAAAAAGGAGCAGAGAACACTGATGGTGTGAGAGTGATGTTCTTCAGGAGATGACAGTGAATGGGATCTGGGGACAATGGAGGTCTTTGGGGCTGTTAGCTTGTTTGTTCTTCTCTGGCCATTCCAGCACTCAGGGTCACCTTCCCCTCCAGGCCCCTCCACTCCAGTGACTCCTTTGGTGACTTATCCACTCATGCATTCTGAGTCTTTCCTGTATCACCTCCTGACCCCTCCAGTGGCTCAGTCACTATCTAGCTGTGTGACCTTGGATGAGTCACTTAACCTCACAAGAAGCAGCAATCAGTGAGTCCGGTGACTTCAGTTTCTTCCAGTATCAGGGTGGACAGAGAGTCACAGTGGTAGGACCTGGGGGTGTTTCTCTAAGGTATGTGGAAATTTAGGCTCCCCTTTGATCTCAGATTCATGGAGAACCCAGAACTGGTTATTAGAAAACTCTTGCGGAGTGAATAGGTAAGCTTCTTTCATATTAATTCTTCACTTGGCAAATGCTTAAGTGCCTGCTCTATCCAAGGGTGTGTCAGAGGTTTTGCAAGGGTGGAGGATGAGCCTCTTGGATTTTACCCTCAAAGAGCTCATAACCTTGTGGGGTGGTGGGTGTGTCTATTCAAAACCATAACAGGGCAGACTCTCTGGCACATCATTTTGTGTTCATCTTTAGGACCAGTTGTCACAGTTGCACACACAAATTAAAGTTCCACAGGAGGTGGGATGTTTTCGGTCTTGTACTCTATGTGCCTGACACATCGTAAGCAGTCAGTACATGTTTGTTGAATGAAAGCAGTATTGAATGGTACCATTTAATTTGTGTTTTGAAGCAAGGGTGGGATTTGGACCTACACAGATGGGCGAGGGGGCGCATTGCAGACTGGCGGGGGTTGGGGTGGCTGGAGGCAGGAGGAGGGAATGGCGGGAGCAGATGTACAGAGACAGTGACACCCAAGGCATGGTTGGTAATTGCAGGCCGACTGTGACTGGATCGTGTGATATGTCAGGATGCAAAGAGACTGAAAAAGTAAGTTGGGGCCAGATGGTGGAGAGGGTTGAATTCAAGCTATGTTAAAGGGATCAGATTTATCTATAGTAGGATGATCTCATGTTCCCATTTCCCAGGGTAGTTTTGCCTGTTGTCCCAGGGTGATTATTCATGGTGGCCCCTTTCATGCTCAAGTATCCCTGTTTGGATAAGTTATGTGGTCCTGCAACCCTAAAGGCTTTGTGGAACCCCCAAAGGTTTCACAGAGGGACAGGGTCAGGCTAGCCTTGAATGGTCAGTGCCCACAGTGTTTGCTGGACCTGGAGGCAGGAGCTGGGACACCCTCCAGTCTGGGCGATACAGGTCAAAGTCTTTTGGTTAATGGTAAATCACCAACAGTGGCCAGGGTACGGTGAAATGGGCACTCTTCAGGGAGTGCCCTGAAATTGTTCCAGACCTTTTTTGGAAATCAACTTTGCAGCACACGTCAAGAGCCTTGAAAACTGTCCATGCCCTTTGTTAATTCCACTTCTGGAAATCTCTCCTAAGGAAATAATTCCAAATATAGAAAAGGTTCTTTGCATAGACGTTCATCATAAAACTCTATGCAACAGGTCTAGAGACAGCTCAGAATGCCACAACAGATGATATTAAGGACATAGGATATATCTATCAATGGACTCTAAGTTCCATAGAACAGGGACAATGTCTGATTACAACCACTGTATCCCCACAGCTAACATAGTGTCTGACATATTTAATGAATAAACAAGTGAATAAAAATTTATATCAGGTTAAACAAAAAAGATATAAAACAATCCTTAAATATGATATATAAGTTCCCATGTGGACACACTATGCTCTCAACCATTTTTTTAAAAAACAGACATATGTATATGACTATGCATATGAAAACTTTTAAAATGACTCCCCAAAATGTAAACAGTGATTATGTCTGAGTGGTGGAACTCCTGATAATTTCCTTTTTTCAATTTTATTTTTGTATATATTGTATATCTTTCAGAATGAATATGATTACTTTTATAATGGAAAAAAAAAGGCCACATCAATACTTTAAAAAAGAAAGGCTAGCATTAGGCAGGGTTTTAGCACTCACAGCCAGGACGTGATAAAGTTTTGCATCTTCCAAGGGTTCCCAGTCAGTCTTTGTGGTATGAGTCTCCAATTCCAGCCATGATCCTCCTCTGTAAGGTGGGTACCTCTCACAATGGGTGGCAGAGGGTCCACTTGCTGGCTAGAGATGCCCTCCCACCCCCCCCACCACCCCCAGGAGCTAGAGATACTGAGGGGTACTGGCTTTCACTGGGACAGTTCGTACACTTGTAAGCGGCCATCAAAAATGATATCTAGGCTGGGCACGGTGGCTCATGCCTGTAATCCCAGCACTTTGGAAGTCAGAGCAGAGCGGATCACCTGAGGTCAGGAGTTCGAGACCAGCCTGGCCAACATAGTGAAACCCCATCTCTACTAAAAATACAAAAAAAAAAAAAAAATAGCTGGGTGTGGTGGCAAGCACCTGTAATCCCAGTTACACAGGAGGCTGAGGCAGGAGAATTGCTTGAATCCAGGAGGCAGAAGCTGCAGTGAGCCAAGATCGTGCCATTGCACTCCAGCCTGGGCAGCATGAGTGAAACTCCTTCTCAAAAAAAAAAAAAAAAAAAAGATATCCAGCAAGATGAAAAACTGTTGATGATACAGTTTTAAGTGAAATAGAGCAGAATACAAAAAGCCATGTTCACTAAGAACATATCTATGCAAACTATGCACATGGCAAATATTTATCAAAAGAATGAAAAAGCCTCACAAAAAATATGACCACATGCAGCCAGAGATGAGACAGACAACCAAAACTGAATGCACCTTTTCAGCAATAACAATTTTAGAGACGTTCCCAGAACTAGGATGGGTGTCTACAGGTGCTTACCCAGTGTCTCTAGGCTCCAGGGCAACCTGTTTCTTAGAGCAGAGCTTCTCAAACTTTAATGTGCACACAATTAACCTGGGATCCTGATAAAACATGGATTTGGATTCAATCGAGCTGGGCTGGCAACAAGGACTGAATATCTACAAACTCCAGGTGATGCTGGGGCACAGAACACACTCAACGAGGCTTCTACCCACTACCCCAATTCTTAGCACCAAACACTTTCCCCAGAGGCCTAGCCTGGCCCTCCGTCCTCAAGCATGTCTGCACCTGAAATCATCTTTGTCCCCAGCATCTTGGCACCATCGAGACTAATAATGAGAAGCAACTCCAGGCACTTGCGTGGGATCCAGGGGGGCCTGAGGCCCCCAATTCCTTGGGAAGCTTGAACAATGACATCTTTCTGGGGTGATGGGAAGACAAAAGTGACTCCATCTTGGATGCTAATTTGCCCATGTTGACTTCTGATTAGCCCCAGTCCCATGAATGCCTCCTGACTCCTACTTTATTTACTGTCCCGAGTGTAAGAATATGTACTCCTGCTTTTAGATCAAAGCAAGCTTGATGTTATCATGCAAATTCTGGGCTATGATGCACATGGCGTTCTTGCCTGCTCTGGCACACTACCTTTCACTGTCTTGCTGGAGCATGTATATCCTTTTCCCTTGGTATATAAGCCTTGGGTCCGAGAGTAACAGTGCAGAGATCTGCCTGTCTTGTGGCCACCCGAGACCACCCGCCTGCTTAAAAGTTCCCTCAATAAATCACTCAATACCAACAAACTGGATTTGTCTGCTTCCTTCTTTGGTCTCTTGGCTCCTTTGGCATTTGGGGGTTGCTTTGTGCATGTGGGCTTTTCACAAAATAGATGGGTCCCGGAGCCTGGGCTTCGCTGGCAGGTGGTCACCTGGAGCAGCCAGCAGCAGATGGCACCACAGGACAAGCACAAGCTGTGTCCAAGAGAGTGGCTCAAGAAATCTGCCCAAAATCCAACACAAAAATGAACAAAGGAACTGAATGGGAGATGTGACCAAAAGAAGCGATAAGACAAACAGCTCCAGGAAGGGAGCTGCTGGCTCAAAGAGCACTTGTCTTGGGCGTCAGTTCCACCGGTTCTTGGTCAGGGGTGAGAGCCCTATGCCAGACCCCCTTTGCAGAACCTATGCTGGCTTATGATGAGGCTCTTCCAGGGCTCCAGCACATGAACACCCTGCCCTGGGAGGCTATAGTAGGCCAGCCACTGTCCACTCTGCTGGAGGGTCAGTCTGAGCCAACAGAACCATGCGGAGACATCCCATCCAATGCAGCCCAGGAGCAGTCTTGACATTTCTTTCCCTGCAAGGACAGGCTGTCTGGTCCACACATAGATGAAGCCTTGGGCCTGGTTCAGCATCCAGAGGACTAGGCCATAACCCCCAAGGTAAGATATTCACACTCATTGGAGCCCTTTCTCCTTTTTCCCTGGATGGCTGGAGGAAGGGGACCCCTGCTTTTTTCAGCCAGTGCCCCATGAAGTTAGACTCCCAGGACTCCCTGCCCCTGATCCTACTTAAGGCCACTGGGATGCCCAATACCCTGAGGAAGCTTTGAAAGATACGTGGCACATTATCTGGGGCAAGTCAGCTCAGTGGTCAGAGCACAGAGTGAAGGAGGCTGCAGCCATAGCCTTGAGTTCTGGAGGCCTCTGTAGTGGGTCAACAGTGGGGAGAGCCACAGAGTCTCGGTCCAGCTACTGTATCAAATGAGGTCCTGGGAGGCAAGGAAGGGCAGGCAGGAGACTATGGCTGCAGGAGCCTGAGCCCTGGCCCCCTTCCCATGCTGGACTCCTGTCCAGCACCAAACATTCAGCAGTGAGTGGCACCTTTACCATCAACCCACCATGGAAAACTTCCCTGGAGCTCTCTCCTTGTGCCAGGGCCTGCCCATGGCATGTAAGACACAAGCCCCATGATGGTATGGATTTCACCTGCAAGGCGCTTGCCATCTCATCGAGGAGAGGAACTTGCAGGCTGATTTCCATGTAAGGTGGAAGACACAGTGATAGAGAAAAGGGATGGAGTAGGAAATGAGTCCTGGAATTCCTGCTTCAGAGGGCTGTAAGCCAAGACTACTGCATCTATTGTCTTCAGCTGGATGCGCTAATGATCTAACAGTAATCCCACTGCTTTGCATCCACAGAATTCTTTACTTCTGAAGCACCTCCACACACCATCTCTCACAGAGGTGAAGAGTTGACCAAGGTCTAGAGCTCTGACTCCAAGCGCTCCTTCCCTCACCCCACAGTGGCCCCGTGGTCTCACTGGTGGAGGTGAAATCCCTGGGTTCCCAGGCCAGGCATCTGTTGCTGTGTCACCAGAATGAACCCTGCCTGCTGCCAGCAGACATCTCCGGCTCTGGCATCTTTCAGCTCAAGCTGCAAGGCTTACTGTGACCTCTGGAATCTGTGCTCAGAATTCTCCCAGGAACAAACAGCTGAAGTATCAAAATGCCAGTCTTCACGATGCAAATGGATGCAAAAACAGCTCTTGCCAGCCTATCTGGACCCCAGAAAGCCAGGAATGCTGGGGTGCCACCCCAGCTTGCAGTGTGCCCACTTAGCTAAGTGGAAGAGCCTGGCAAGGGACATGGCAGGGAGAAGACCTAGACCTGGTTAAATGGGATTGGACCTGCCACTTAGCCTCAGGGACCCTTTGGAGACTTCCGTATGTACTGTGGACAGGGGCAGATGCTCTGACTCCTCCAGGGGGGCGCTCTGCTGGCAAGTCAGCACCAGGGCCTTGATCTCCTTCTTGAAGTTGGTGTTGAGAAAGCCATAGATGAATGGGTTGACACAGGTGGAGGCCATGGCAAGCAAGTGGCACACTAAGAAGATGAGGTTCCCATGGCAGATGGGGATGGCCTCATGGTGCCAGTCTTCCAGGCTGTTGAACACATGCAGAGGCAGCCAGAGCACGGCAAAGGCCACCACCATCACCACCAGCACCACATTGACCTGCTTCATGTGCCCAGCTCGCAAGCTGTAGGTGCCCTTGTGAAACACGCGCCCCTGCCTCTGCAGGCGCCGGTAGATGCGTGCATAACAGACCAAGATGAAGCCCAGTGGGAGGCAGTACTGGAAGAGGAGCAGGAAGGTGGTGTAGATGGTGCGGTGGTGAGCCAGTGGCCAGGACTCGGTACAGACCACCTTATCCGCCAGGAACTCCAGAGCCTTGGAGTGGTTCTTGTGGAAGACATTCTCCAGGATGCTGTTGGCCAGGAAGGGCAGGGAGAGGACACAGGCAATGACCCAGATGAGCACAATCCCCAGGTAGGCCTGTGAGATGCTGGGCTTCCAGCCTGTTGGGTTGATGATGAGCTGATGCCTCTCCAGGGCCACGAGGACGAGCGAGAGGATGGAGACCGTCACCGACATGCACTGGATGAAGGCCGACATCTTGCAGAGGGTCTCTCCAAAGATCCAGTAGTCCATGATGGTGTAGACGGCGGTCAGCGGCTGGCAGAGGAGGCACATGAGGAAGTCAGAGAAGGCCAGGTTGGCGATAAGCAGGTTGGTCACGTTGGCTTTCTCCTTCTGCCTCACAGTTACACACATCAGGCAGAGGTTACCCAGGACCCCCACGACAGTCTCAATGCTGTAGGAAGTGACAATGAAGACCATCACGTCCACGGAATCCTGGCAATGTTCAGAGAAGTTGTATGGGGTGCCCAGGGGTTTGCTTCTGTTTTCACCTTGTGGAGATTTTGGGAGCAGCAAGGCCAGGAGGTGAGAGGTGTTCATAGTGGATGTGAAAAGATTCCAGGACTCTTGAACTAAGTGATACACTTGAGGGATGACGCCTACAAGGCAAACAGACAAACAATACTCAGGGATCATGCCCAGGGTAGAATCCAGAGAGGAGCAGGGCCGGGTAGAAAGGCTCTCAGCTGCTTCCAACCCAAGGCTGGTATCTGGAGGGGCTATTACCTAAGGCTCATGGTGAGACATTGGCATCCAATGATTGCTACCTTGTTAGAAGCACTTGTTGCATGCTGGGTACTGTGCTCAGCACTTTCGTCTATTAGCTAGTTTATTCCTAGAGGTAGATATTATCAATCCGTTTCATAGATGAGGAATCTAAGACCCTGAGATGGAAAGCAACTTGCCCATAGTCACACAGCTAATTAGTAACAGGGCCCAGTTACAAACTCAGGTCATCTAATGCCAGAACTTGTTCTACTAATTCCCTCCGGCCTCAGGATGAGGCTGTTCTGATGATAAAGAAGTTGGAGTGCTGTATGCAGACTTTAGTGACGGAATTGTTCAGGGAACATGGGTAGAATGCCCCTTGTCACATTTTATCTGAATGGAGACAGCAATAAATGCCACTCTGCACAGGATTGCTTGTGTCCTTCCACGGCACCCCATTCCCTTCAAGATAGAGCTAAAGCCTCGGGGATCCACAATCAGTGCACCCTCCTGGTCTCAGCCCCTCCCTGCCCTGGTAGCCTTGTTTTTTAGGTGATACCTGGCAAAACTGAAGACTGCCCAGTATGCAAAGCCTGGCTCATCAGCACACCAGCTTCTTCCTACTACCCACCATGTGCACAGACATACCTGGCCAAAGTCACAGGTGCCCAGTGCCCTCCACAGAACCTACTCCATGACTATGTTCAAGTCACTTGATGCAGTGTGCAGCTCACAAGCACACCAGACTCTTCCACATCTCTATGCCCTGGTACAGGCTGTCCCTTCTCCGAGGACCTCCTCAGCACAACGGACCCCCTGCCAAGACTGAGTTGGAATTTAGACTCCAGAGTTCCCCCGTGTTAGTGCCAATGATGGATGTTTTGCATGGGAAGCACCATACCACTACATACATCATTGTGACTCACCTCTCAGATTCTCTAGTCATTATTAATCCCACAGGGTTGCAGTTCTCAACCTTCAGTAAACATCAGAATCATTCTAGAAGCATGTTGAAAGTGCACATCCCAGGGCCCTTCCACCAGGAGATGTAGTTAAGTGAATCCAGGATGGGGGCCAGGAATCTGTATTTAACAAGTAGACTATGTGATTCTGATGCACATGGCCCTTGGACCCCATCTTGTAAAACACTGTAGCAGAAAACCCTATTCGAGATATTCTTTAAGTCTCATATCATGGCCATATGTATTTTTTACATGATCAATTGCTATGTTAAGGCAGTTTTTGCAGAGCACAAGGCCAAAATCAACCAGAGCTCAGTAAAATCTATTTGTCGGCTGTCATGAATGTCACTTGCTGTGCATCTGATCTACTTATAAAGATGAGTTTCTAAGGTCAGGACTTCAACACCTGCCTGGCCAACATGGTGAAACCCCGTCTCTGCTGAAAATACAAAAATTAGCCAAGTGTGGTGGTGCATGCCTGTAGTCCCAGCTACATGGGAGGGTGAAGCAGGAGAATCACTTGAACCTGGGAGGCGGAGGTTGCAGTCAGCAGAGAGTGCACCACTGCACTCCAGCCTGGGCAACAGAGCGAGACTCTGTCTCAAAAAAAAAAAAAAAAAGAGTCTCATTTGGTCATTTAAAAGATCAAGCTGTGAATTCACCTGATAGTTTACAGTCTGGTTATTTAGGAACCAGATCTCGAAGGCAGGAAGATTTCTCCAGCACTATGGTCTTCGGGCAAAAAGGGCCATTTGGGGCTGAACATGGCAAAATAAACTATTCCAGAGCCAAACACAGGGCCCAATATAAGATAAAGAACAGTCGCAGCTGCATGAACCTGTGGCAGAGGCACTGCACTCAGAAGCAGCAAATGGGCCAGAACCCAAGGCTCTGGGTGACCATCAGCAAGGCTTGGCCAGTGGTGTGGAGAAACACCATTCATCCCAAACCAACCACCTAAAGCAGGATCAGAGTGGAAGGACTGGGCTGGGAGGGCTCCAGAAAATGCTCACTGCTTCATTCACCCACTCAATAAGTGTGTGTCAAGCCCTGGGCTAGAAACAAGGGCTGCAAAGATGACTTATACAGTCATGGCCCTCCCAGAGCAGAGGGGCTGACCAGCACGAATGCAGATGGAACTCATTGCCATTGCCAACACCAATATGAAAGAGAGGCCTGTGAGTTGAGAGATCAGAGAAGGAGCAGGGAGCAGGGAGGTGAGAGAAGAGGTGGCAATGGTACAGGGCTCAAAGGCTGAAGAGGAGTCAACCAGCCAAAGGGACAGGGAGAGGAGGGAACTCGAAGTGCAAGGAACAGCATGTGCAAAGGCACAGAGGCAGGAAGGAGCAGAGCCTGCTGGGAAAAGTAAGCAGAATAAGAGGTTCCAGGGTGGCAGATGATGAAGCTGGAGTGGTGGGCCAGACCAGCAAGGTCAGGTCCATTCCAGTAAGATCACTTGGATATAGAAAATGGATTGGCAGAGAGGGCCAAGACAGGAGGAGGAGGAGCACTGAAAAGGTGGTGTTGGGCATCTGCCTGGGGCTGCTGGGCTTGGGGTACACTGACCAGTGAGGACCAGGGGACCTCAAGTCCCTCAGGCACACCCAAGGGGGTGGCGAGTGTATGAGGGGGAGGGTAGATTATTACGCAAGGTCAATAAAATGGTGTCTCTGCATTTTGTCCCCAGGCAGCTCTCCAGATACAAAAACTAGAACCAGCTGCAAGCCCCAACAGGGACCCCCTGCAGCCTGCCTTCCCAGTCAATCAGAGGAAAATTAATGAATCATACACACAATGCTAATCTCCCAGTGGGGTTAGAATAGGGAAGGCCCTTTGCTTTGTCTCCTGAAATCTCAGCAAAAGCTACTATATCCTAATGCCCATAGCGCCCAGACACCTCAGATGCACCCCTTACCTCCTTGGCTTGCGGCTTACAGGGTGCGGATGGGGCCGCCCATGTCTCAGGTGAGGAGACTGAGGTCCACAGTGGGGGTAGGATGCTCCCCAGATCCAGTGTGACGCTCTGCGCCCCGGGCCAAGGGCAGGCAGCGCGCCCGGCTTCCCGGAGGGTTCGTACCGGGGCCCACTCGGCCCCGCCCCCGGCCGCACTCCTGTGCCCAGGGGGCACCAGGCGCGGGGCAGAGCCGCGCCTGCTTCACCTGCTCCTGCTGCCCCGATGCTGCCTGCGTGCAGAGTGGAGCGGCTGCTACGCTCCCGCCTGCGCCCGCCCAGCCTGCCCCTTGCGCCCGCCCACGAGAGGGCTCCAGCCGCCCGCCTGCCCCGGGACCCCAGCACTCGCCCTGGGGAGCCGCATCTTGAGCCCCCAAGGCCTGCCCGGAACTGCAGCCCTGCCTGCGTGTGTCTCTCACGCCCACCTCAACCCTGGATACAGGCAGGCTGGAGCTGCGCTGTCTTTCTCTCTCTCTTTCTTTCTTTCTTTCTTTCTTTCTTTCTTTCTTTCTTTCTTTCTTTCTCTCTCTCTCTCTCTCTCTCTCTCTCTCCCTCCCTCCCCCTCCCTCTCTCCCTCCCTTTCTCTTTCTCCAGGAGTGTTTCTCTCTGTCTAGGGGTGTGTGCGTCTGCCTGTCTCTCTCTCTCTCTGCCTCAGTTTCCTCATCCATGAAATGGGTATAAAAAGACCTGCCTTTCATAAGTTCGTCCAGAAACATTACTTGCAGACCTCCTATGAGCCTGGCTCTCCTGCTGGGCACCAGAGCTGGACAAGACAGGCTCCCTGTCCTTGGTTCCTTCTGGAGCTCTCAGCCCTGGGGGAGAAGACAGACAGGGTACAAGGAAAGAGGGAAATAAATTATTACAGGGGGTGAGATGCTGTGAGCAAATGGGTTCGATAGGCCAGATGGATGGCACAGCCACGGCAAAAGCCCTGAGGCTGGGAGCATTCAGCCCCTGGAGACCAGGGGAGGGCAGTGTGGCTGAGAATGTCAGCCAGGGTGAGGGAAGGAGATGGGCATCCAGGGTGTGAGTGAAAACTCAGGGTGGGCCCTGGAAGTGGAGTGTCTTATCTCAGGCAGTCCCAAGGTTGTGGCGATGAGAATTCAATGAGAATGGTCACTTTCTCCTTTGGAGCTGAGATGCACATGACTTGGCTATAATGGAACAGCTTTGCTTACAAGGGCTGCTCCTGTTTTGAATACACTAGCTTATAATTCCCTGCCCCCCATCCCCACATGGCAAAGTCACATATGCGCTTAGAGAACCTCCTGAGAGTAACAGATCTGCTTCAAGAGCACCTCCTAAACACTGGACATACACACCTGTCCAGTGAACCTCCTGTGGCTCCCCATGGAAATGTCCCCATGAAGTCATGGCAGTGGTCCCTCTAGAATGGCAGCTGCCGTTTGTAGTGCAGAGACTCTGCAGACACTACCTTAGTTAATCATCACAACAGCTCTGAGAGGTGGGCATTTTTATTCCCATCGTGCTGATGAAGCAAAGTGACACTCAGTGGTTGAGCAACTTGCCCAAAGTCACTCAGCTAAGAAACAGCCAGATCCAGGATGCGAACCCACCTGCCAAGCCCCCAGGCCTCTGCTCACCATCGCTGTAGACTGGCACCTGTCATCTCTTCTTTCTGGACCATGCTCCTTCCTGTCTTGACTACCTGGAAAGCGGCTGCTCCTCCGTTGCACCCCAGCTCCGATGTCCCTGCTGCCATGACAAATTCCTACCACCCTCCCATGCTCTGCTGCAGAGGCAGATGTAGCAGCCTAGTTGGTTGTCTGCCTGAGCAGCTTTGTCTCCCCACTCCCCTATGTCTAGGTCACAGCTCTTGTCTCCGCCTCCAGATCCCAGCACAAGTCCACACACAGCATCTGACAAAGAAAGAAAGGAAGAAAGGAAGACGGAGGGAGGGAGGACATTTAAGAAGACCTGATTGTAACGGTAGCTTCCAGACATGTAAAATCAGAGAACATTGCTTGACCAGAAACTGCTCAACTCCAGCTGGGAGCTCTATGGACACCCGTCCTCTGTGCAGGCAAGAACGCAGCCACTGTCACCTCCTTCTTGCAGGGCAGCTGTGTGGGGTCTGGATTTGCTGGTAAGCCCTTGGAGGCAAGCTTCCACATAGACACATTTGAGAACTACTGCGCAAGGCACGCAGCCTGAACCCTAGCTCTTGTGGGTCAGAGAACAGCAGAAGAGCTGAAATGGTGGTAAAAGCAGCAAACAGCTCCCTTGCCAGGCAGAAGCATGTGAACCTGCCCTTAGTCCATCCTCATGCCTAACTGGTGTGGTATGATCATCCCATCTCACAGGCGAGAAAACTGAGCCTCAAAGAAGTAGAGTGTCTTGTCTCAGCCAGCCAACTTGTAGATGGTAGGGCTGGACTTTCAATCCAAAGTCCAAGCTCTTCCTTCAGGACCATAATGCCCAGGAGAGGGGTAGGTAGCTCTTCCTAGCAGACATTTCAGGTTAAACCAATACTCCCAGAGTTGGCTGCCAGACCCTTTGCCTCTGCTAGGGAAAGGAGACAGCACCCTCTGGAGGCAGCAGAGCCCTGCACCAATCATAGCCAGAGCACTTGAAGTTCCTCAAGAAAGCAGTCTGTAAGAAAGAACTGGGAGCTGCTGTTCTTCCCCCTTGCTGGAGTCCAGGGTCCGGAGCACAGCCTGAGAGGCTCTGCCAGTCAGCCAGGCTGCATTCTGCCATCTCTGGGGAAGGGGCTAGGTAGGATTTTCCTTCTGCCATAAAAGTGGCTGGCTGGTGTGACCTGCTGGAGACTGCTTCTCCTAAATAGCTTAGTGACAGGTTCCCTTCCCACCCCATCAGGAATGTTCCTCATGAATCACCCGGAAGTCAGACAGGCGCACAACTCCCTCAGGTGTGTGCAGCGCTCCACATTACCTCTCTGAACCTCAGTCCACTGCATGCTCAGTATTCCCCCTGGTCCTATGAGGAAGCTGAAGATCAGCTAGTCAGGGGATGGATAGACCCCAGGCACCCTCCTTACTGTAAATTTGCTGGGATTTGGAATCAGGCCCATTCACAGTTGCTTACACCACATTGAGAGTCAGTGTGGTGACTGGTCACAAGCCGGGCACAGAAGCCGTCTCGCATTGCCCCAGATTCTCATCTGCAAAGCGGAGCTAATAACAAAGTTTGCCTCGGGAGATGTTGTGGCAAGAAATGAGTTGAGATGAGAATGGCTCTCCACACAGTTATGGGCAAGAAACACCCTGCAGAGCTGTGGCTATAAGCATTCCTGTGTCCTGCATGCTTGCCCACCTCCCTGAGCCTCTGCCCCAGAGCTAATGGGCTGTCCCGACCAATTCTAGCTGGAAACCTCTCCAAACCCTCATCACGACCCACACATCTCACCTGGACAGTCCTAAGAGGCCCTGCAAGCTCAGCCATGGTGAGCACCTCCTAGACACTGGACAGACATACACAACTCTCCAGTGAAACCTCCTGTGGCTCCCCTTGGAAATGTCCCCATGGAGTCATGGCAGTGGTCCCTCTAGGATGGGTCCCTCTGAAATCAGTCTGACTCTCTTCCTCTTTCAGGCCTTCTAGTGCTGCCTCCCCCAGACTCATTCTGCATGTAAACTCTCCATTTTCAGGGAGTATGGTTGAGTTTCTCAGATCCAGGCTTGTGTAGATGTTGCTTCCACGGCCTGAACTCATCAAGCTCTCCATTCTCAGAGACCCATCCCACACACACAGCTCCCTGAGAAATGTCCTTGGCCATCCCTGCCCGCAACCTGTGCATTCTGAAGGGCAGCTGCCAAGCATGGTCCACTCACATATAGCTAGCTCCCGGAAGCTGTCCTACTTTTTTCATGGAAGGCTATAGCAGAGGGAAGCCACATCAGCTATCCGGGGAAACCAGTTTATTTTCCAGTACTTATAACAGAGAACCAAAGATCCTCACACATTTAGGAAATCAACAGCACAAAGGAGATAGGTCAAGATGAATAAACAAAATAACTGACCCCAAAAGAAGCTGAAATAACTTAGGGAATAGAAAATAACTTTAAGAGACCAAAACTTCCTTTAATGCCTAAATTAGAGAAATTACTGAATCCATATAACAAGAGCAGATTGCCATGAAATAAGACAGACTAAGAAAGCAAGAAAGAATCCTTGAAAACTAAGCATGACTACTGAAATTTGAAAACACATCATTAGAAGGGATGGGAGAACCAGCTTAGGAAATATCCCATAATGTAGAGCAAAAACACAGAAAGATGGAAAACTTCAGAGCTAAAATAAGAGACATGGATGATTAACACTAATGACCCATCATCCAATTACTAAAATTTCCAGGAAGGAAAAATCAAGACAATGAAAGGCAGCATATCAGTCATAGTCTGCACAGGACACATAATTCACCCCCAGATTGTCAAACAAAGGGATTTTAATAAAAAGGTAACTTACAGAGGTGTGGGAAGCATTAAAGGAAAGAAACAAGAAATGGTGAGGCACCCAGAGACTGGCAGAAGACAGAAGCAATCACCACCCTACAGTTAAAAGAACAAAAGGAGAAAACCACATTACCACAGCCAGAGGACTGCAGAGGAAGGGCCCCCAGTGGGAGCTTCTGTAGTGTGGAGGCATGCCACCGCCTCCAGACAGCATGGAAGCAAGGGGAAGTAGAAAAGAATTCTACCAACCTCTCTCTCCTTCCACTTCCAGTCTCCTGTCAGTCCCTCCCATTGACCAAACCCAACTGGAGCCCTGCCAGCAAAGGAGCCATCAGCTTCCCCTGGCACAGGGAAGAGCAGAGAACCACAGTAGAGAATGCATCTGGGTGGGGTGTGAGCAAAATAGTCGACACATAGAATCATCAATAGCAAGAGTATTCCAGAGCTACAGATTAAAAGGAAGCCCGAGGAACTGCTCCACACCTAGACAGGTACTGCAAAATTTCAAAACACCAAAAAAAAAAAAAAAAAAAAAAAAAAAGAAGATTCTAAAATGTTCCATGGGTGGGAGCAGGAAGAGAAAGGTTGCCTACAAAGGAAAGGAGAGACAGAGACCATTCTCAGTCTTGTCAACAACATAGGATGATGGAAGACTCTGAAAAGATGGAGCTATATTTTTAGGACTCCTGGAAATATATTTTGAACCTAAAACGCTCATCTCAGCGATAATATCAAGTGTAAAGGTAGAATAAGGATATTTCTAAACTTGCAAGCTTACATTTCCTGAATCCTTTCTGAGAGAGTTCATTAAGGAAGTGTATTAGTCCATTTTCACACTGCTATAAAGAACTACCTAAGACTGGGTGATTTATAAACAAAACAGCTTTAATTGACTCGCAGTTCCACATGGCTGGGGAGGCCTCAGAAAACTTACAACCATGGCAGAGGGGGAAGCAAGGTACATCTTACATGGCGGCAGGAGAGAGGCTAGGGACTCCCAAACACTTTTAAACCATCAGATCTCGTGGAAACTTACCATCATGAGAACAGCATGAGGTAAACTGCCCCCATAATCCGATTACCTCCCACCAGGTACCTCCCTCGGCATGTGGAGATGACAATTAGAGATGAGATTTGGGTGGGGACACAGAGCCAAACCATATTAGAAGGTACTCCAGCACAACTGGTATAAAATCAAGCAAGGAGAGATGAGGTCAAAGAAATGGTTGAACAGGCCCAGGAGCCTGGGATTTTCTTTCCCTACGCAAATAGTAAACCTGCATTACTGTATTTCTAGGGGAATTACAGGGATCGATGCCATGATTAAAGACATGAAAGATGCAGGGACAGGGAGGCCTGTCACATTTCTGCCCACTTGGCTCACCTCTTTAGCTCTTTAGCCTGTGCAGGAAGTTGCTGAATCTTGGAGAATGACTGTATGTCGTCGTAAATTTAATCAGGCAGTAACTCCAATTTTAGCTGCTTTTCTAAATGCAACATAGAACAACTTAACCACTCTCAGCACTTAGTATGTAGCTATTGACTCAGCTTGTGTTTTCTCCCCATCTGTATCGGTAAGAACCAGCAGAAGTTTGCTTTCACCTGGCAAGGATAGAAGTACAAAGTCAGTGTCTTCTCCCAGATCATGTTCGTTTTCCAGCTTTCTGTTATAGTGTGGTCTACAGAGACCTTGATCTTCTGAACATCCCACAGATCCACAGATGGTATGCTGGTGCACTACACTGGTAGCACATGCTGATTGAACTGATGAGCAGGGAGAATAAACCAGATGCCTTCATAAGATGCATGCAGCACATGGGCATGGGTGGGACAGTAGCCATCATAGCCCGGGTAGTCTAAGCTAAGCACACGGGATATGTACCAGATGGCACCCATCTGGCGTGGGGGAGCCTGGCATGGCATGTCAGAGCCAGAATAGGACAAAGAGTGGCCATGCAGGGAGGCAGGGGCACGGTGGCCTAGCACAGGGTGTTAGAGTCCAAGTACTGTCAAATGAAAGTCCACATGGCAGAAGGGGACAACCAAGTGTGGATGCCAGAGCCACACAGAATGAGTGGAGGGGCAGAGTTCTGCTATGGAAGATTGGGTATATGCAGGGGGACCAACTGAGCAAAGTTGGGAGCCAGTTTTCTCACTCATGGAGAAGGCAGTCATGAATATGGAAGGAGGGAAACCCAGAATAAGCCCTGTGGTTTTGATTAGAATTGAAAGTATTGAAGTGAGCTCATGGTTTTCTATATAGAGAGATAAATATTGATCTAATAGTGTGTGTGCATATATATCCTTGCTCTGTCCACTGAGAGAGTCTAGGAGCAGTGATACCCCAATAGCAATGAACACTCCTAGCACCCATATATTGACTTCTAAATGCCATTCTCCATTAAAAGAATCCAAGTCTCCTTCGGAAAATGGCTGATTCCAGGGCAAGGGCTGGGAAAGCCCAAGATAAACCTGAAAGATCTTGGGAGCTAGAAAGTAATGAAGTACTCTAAGAATGAAGGGTGCAGGCCAGAAAAGCCCAGAACCTGGCTTGAAGGGGCCCTTGATGGCCAAATCTTCGACCATGTGAGCATCAAAGTAAATAATAATGATGATGGATAATAACCTACTGAATAAAATAAAAATCTGAGTCCATTTCAATATAACTAAATGATGGAGTAAAGTGACAGTTTGATGAGGAATGGAATATATTCATGGTTTCAGTGTGCCTCATCACAAAATATTTGTTTATTACAAAGAGAAGAGTCACCTTACAGTGGAGAAGGCTGGCAGTCACCTCTGTAATCAAATGATCATAGCGAACACCATCTCTAATCCTAGAGTGAAATTACTCACCGCATGACAGGATGCAAGGAAAACGTAGCACAGCTTCTGTGATCTTCCTGCTGAAGGTGCATGCAAGTGAATCCAACCCTGAAGAAGCATCAGCCTCAACCCAGGTGAGGGACATACTACAGAATAACTGGCCTGTCATCTGGAAACATAAGGCCATGGAAGTCAAGGAAAGAAGGGAGAACCATTCCAGATTGAAGGAGACCAGAGACAGGAGAATGAAACCTGTGTATCTTGGGACAGCTGATGAAACTTTAGTGGAGCCTGCAGATGAGGCGGTAGCAAGGTGTTCATGCAAATTGCCGGGATCATGCTCTCAAATGGCATAGAAAAATTAATGTTCTTTATCCTCACTTTCAACTTTTCTATAAGTTTAAGATGATTTAAATTATATTTTTAAAGGTGTCAAAAATTTTCTTCATCTTTATAGAATGAAACAGAAATAAAAATTGAAAGTGGTAACCTCTGGAAATAGAACTGGGGGAAAGAAGGAAAGAATATCAACGGGAGTTATCTGACCCATAGGATTTTAGGTCATTTTTTGCTTTGTTTCCTTTTCTAAATTTCTCTCTATTAAAAAAGAATGAATGATTACAACTTTATAAAGGAAAGAATCCATAAAATATATGTAATTAAATCCCATGGTACAAAGGGCAAAGAAGCTTGGCAACAACGCTTCCAGCCTCAGTTTTGTCATATGTAAAATGGAGCAAAGATGGGTTCAGGCTCATTACAAACTGGTGAGGGTTCAAATAATTAAGGGATAGGGATAGAATATCAAAGTATTTTCAAAGCCACATAGAAGGGAGGTGTGAGGGAGGGTTCCTAGGACTTCAAAGTCGGAAGCCGATAAGGGCCTGGCCTTCCGAGAAGCCTTCTAAGTAGAGATTCTGGCCAGCAGGGCTGCTGAAGTGGGCACACCTGCTGTAGGAGGCGTCTCCTTGGGCCCTGAGGGATCACCTGTTCTTTGTTTGCCTTTGCTTCTCTGCTGAGGCCATAAAGAGGCTGGGCTGTAAAATAACCTACTCTGGCCCCAGGAAAGAGATAAGAGATGTCAACTGGGCAGCCAACACCTTCCCTGCCTCCCACCCCAAACAGCTGGCCCTGCCCTCCCCACCCCCACCTCTTCTTCTCTCCAGAGTAAAGCTGGACTTCCCTACTGCCTCCTGCCTGTCCCTTCTCACCAATGCTGCCACCCTTTTTCTCCACTCTATTTCAAGGAAGTAGCCATCTGCCACTAAAACTTTATCCCATGGTCCAATCCATGAGCTTGAATCCAACCAGCCCAGAGCAGCATTTTCCCCCTTGATAGAGAATAAGAGAAAGACAAAGACAAAGGCACATTATTTCCCTAAAGTCCTATATTCCCTGTCTTCTGTGAACCAGTGAAATTATCAACCCACAGTGGGTCAGCTGCCCTTCTGTGGAGCACATCAGAGGAAAAATACCAACGCAGCCCTGGCTGCACACTTTGTGTCGACTCTCCCAATCCTTCTCCCTGCCTTCTGGAACTACAGAGATTCATTCAGTCTACTGTCATTCAACTAATATTTTAAAGCAGTTCAGTAGACTGAATGTTACATGGACAATAGACTCAGTGTTACAGAGACACTGGATGTACAGTTTCGCTTCCAAAGACATGTTATAAAAAAGGGCACAAATGGGATAATAAGTAAAATAGGCACCAGATTACCATATGCTTTGAACAGAGAATTTACCCTATTCTATTCCCCATCTCAAATTGTGCTTAGCTATGTTGTCCTACCAAAATTCCCTGATATGGTGATATATTAGTTAGCTAAAGCTGAGTAAAAAAGAGCCACAGAATCTTAGTGACATACAATTGACATGACTGCAGGTCAGCTGGGGCTAGCTGACCTAGGCGAGCTCAATGGGGCAGCTCTGTTTCAAGCTATGAGTCCAACTGAACTTGGCTCCTCACTGAGATTTAAACTTCTCCACTGATATTCCATCTGGGGCTCAGGCTGAAGGAGTTCAAAGAAGTGTTATGCATGGAGATGGCAGCAGTTCAAGAGGACAAGCCCAGCTATGCAAGGTAATTTCCATTCCTCCGTGAGTCACATCTGCTAACATCCATTGACCAAAGCAAGCTACATGGCTGAGCACAGTTGAGAGGCAAAGAACTGTCCCCCACCTACCCTGAGGCCAAAGCAAGTCAGAGCCATGCCCAACATTAATAGAACCAGTAACTACACTCTTCCAGTGAAATGGAGAGGTGGAAGAGTGAATATGTTTGAACAGTAGTCTCATCTATCATAGTCAATGATACAATTTCAGAAATATTAAGGAAACCAGTATTTGTATCTATCTCATTGAATATAATAATGAAAAATTTCTCATCTTACATTACCAAGTCCAACTCACTTTTTTCCACAGATAATTTTAAATCTTCCCCCAAAAGAAGCCCCATTCCATTTTCTCATGGAAATAATAAACTCAAAATTTCCCATCCCCTAGAGCAGTTTCACTCTGAAACAGATACAGTTTCCCTACACTTCCAGACTGGGCTATAGAAAGTTCTACAAGGACACACAAACATAGACAAAAAAGAATATTGCAATATTAGTCGTGTGTGTGTGTGTGTGTGTGTGTACATACATCACATGAGAAAATTCCCAGATCCAAATGAGGTATAATAGCAGCTTATAATTAGAGTAACTATTCCATTATACAAAAAAATTATCTCCCAAAAGGTACTGTTAAATCAAGTTTAGCCGGCCGGGTGCGGTGGCTCACACCTCTAATCCCAGCACTTTGGGAGGCTAAGGCAGGTGGATTACCTGAGGCCAGGAGTTTGAAACCAGCTTGGCCAACATGGTGAAACCCCATCTCTACTAAAAATACAAAAAATAGCCAGGAATGGTGGCACACACCTGTAGTCCCACCTACTTGGGAGGCTGAGGCAGGAGAATCGCTTAAACCCAGGAGATGGAGGTTGTGATGAGCCGAGATCACGCCACTGCACTCCAGCCTGAGTGACAGAGTGAGACTCCGTCTTAAAAATATAATAAAAAATAAATCAATTTAGCCTAAATCTGCCTCCTTACATATTTTAAGTTCAGCCTAAAGGTTTTTCTGTACATCATGAACTATAACAAGTGGAGGTGTAAACAGACTGTAGTCTACACTTGTGCTAATCAATGAGTTTTGGCCAATCAAATGTAGCCAACTGTTTGAACCCTGTTCAAATAAGGTGAACACCAAGCTGTAACCAATCAGCTATTTCTGTACCTCACCTCCGTTTTCTGTACCTCACTTTCCTTTCTCTGTCCATAAATCTTCCTCCATCACGTGGCTGTGCTGGAGTCTCTGAGCCTACTCTGGCTCAGAAGGCTGCCCAATTCGCGAATCATTCATTGCCTGCTCACTTAAGCTCCTTTAAATTTAATTCAGCTGAAGTTTTTCTTTTATCAGATGGTGTCAGAGCAGATCTGAAGTAGAGCTTCTAACGACTCCCAGGAGTGCTGAGTGACCGAAGCCAGGTACCTGCAGGACCTATTTGTGTTCGTTGATCTCTCAGAGCAGTTGGAAGTCATGGTAAGTTTTCTCTCCAATGTCAGAGCTCCACTGATTTGTGTTTTGAGCTCTCCGAGTTTCTTTGAGCAAATTTCTGTTCCAAACTGGGTTTGGAAGTCATGACAGAAACTGGGCTGGTTCAAGGAATGGATTTGATCTGGTAATTAACTGGCTTGGATACAGTTAGAGGCCTCTTACATCTGACTGGGTCAGAAAGAAATGTAGTAAATGGTAATATTGCAGGGGTGTAAAATTAGGCTATTGAAAATTCACAGGGATTTTTGTGTTTTACCCCTTTGTTTCTTTTTTTTTTTTTTTTGAGACAGTCTCACCTTGTTGCCCAGGCTGGAGTGCAGTGGCGCAATCTCAGCTCACTGCACTCTCTGCCTCCCAGATTCAAGTGATTCTCCTGCCTCAGCCTCCTGAGGAGCTGGGATTACAGGCGTCTACCACCACGCCCTGCTAATTTTTTGTATTTTTAGTAGAGATGGGGTTTCACCATGTTGGCCAGGCTGGTCTCGAACTCCTGACCTCAGGTGATCCACCCGCCTCGGCCTCCCAAAGAGCTGGGATAACAAGTGTGAGCCACTGCACCCGGCCTTGTTTCATTTTTCTTATGCACTTTGGTAGGAGAAAAATCATTGGCTAGGTTGATCAAAGGAACCTGAGAGCAAAGCCAAAATCTGAGGTAAAAATTGAATCCTTAATTTCTTTTTTTTCTTTAATTTGAGACGGAGTCTCGCTCTGTCGCCCAGGCTGAAGTGCAGTGGCGTGATCTCGGCTCACTGCAAGCTCCGCCTCCCGGGTTCACGCCATTCTCCTGCCTCAGCCTCCCAAGTAGCTGGGACTACAAGCACCCGCCACCACGCCCGGCTAATTTTTTTTGTATTTTTAGTAGAGACGGGGTTTCACCGTGTTAGCCAGGATGGTCTCGATCTCCTGACCTCGTGATCCGCCCACCTCGCCTCCCAAAGTGCTGGGATTACAAGCATGAGCCACCGCGCCCGGCCTGGATCCTTAATTTCTGAAGAACTGAGTTCCTTCTGGCTAATACCTGCATAAGTGGTAGGCCCCGGAAGCAGCAGTCTTATAGAAATGGTGAAATCTTACTAAAGATAACTTAGAGTGGAATGTTCCAAATGAACAAAACTGCACTGAAGTGCATTTGAAAATGAGGGCTCCCAAGTTAGTCTCATCTAGGGATGTCTATTGATATGCAGAAGCTTCTAAAAAGATTTCAGTATTTTTATTTAAAGACTTTACAAAAGGCAAATCGAAAGCTTATGCGACTCATTGACTTAAAAAATTAAATCTGCTAGCCTTTTAGCTTAGTTACGATCCCGATCCAAAGGAAATAGACCGCAGCACCAATGGGCTGACTTTGGGTGAGTAGTGGGTTCATTTTACCTGGTAAAGGATGGGATTGGGTTGGAGGCCTTCCCCCTCAGTAAAGTCCCTCTTTGTTAAACGTGGATTTGGCACCATGGGGTTAACCACTATTCTCTTTGGAGTGATCTGCCTTGCACTCTTTGCTAACACCAGTGGGTGATAGGATTAGGCGTGTACCAGGCCATAGAACGTGGGGAACTTTTTCTCCCCAAAGGGGAAAATTTGGGAGCTGATGGGACTGCTCGAAAAGATCCTTCACGACCAACAATCAGCCGCCTGAACTTTTGATTCAGCATCCCTGCAATGGGTGGGTCTTTCTCTGGCCTCCCTGAGCTCCTCATCTTCCCCACTCTGCCACAGGCAATGCTTTTCTCCCTTTCTCTTCTTTCCCTTTCTTTTCTGTTAAAAGGGCGTCCATCTTGCCCAAAGATCACATGTTGAAACTCCTTTAATCCACTTTGAATGTATTAAAGATGATAGGGACCAACTGGGGGCAAGTTTGAGCCTCACAAGTTCGATAGTGGGTGCTAAGCAGAGTGGCTAATGTCTATGTTTTGTCACATGTATTTTTCTCTGGCCAGAATGGAAAACATTAATTTGGGTCCTCCATGCAGCTAGTTGGGTGGCAACTTGCAAAATTGAGAGGCTTTTGCCTATGGTTACAAACTTTGCTACAGATTCCTGAAACAAGCAGAAAACTGAATGAGGTCTCCATCTTGTTTTATGTCCTGGGGAGCTTGACCTTGTAACAGCGTGGCAGTACTTTCTCTTGGTCTCTGCCATCTAGGGAAAAGGAATTTTGGGGCTCATATCATAGTTAGCTCTAAAAATTATTTTGAGTAGTTAAAAGCCATTGCAAGCTCAAAATTGATTGCTCTAGACTCTTTGTGGGAAAAGCAGTGGAAACTGCCCAATGTTTTAGCTCAGCAGCTAAGGGTTTGCCATTTTATAATGGCAGCCTGGGTTCTATCCTAGCTTACAGAATGAGTACATTCTGGTGGACATCTCTGTGACCTTTACCGTTTGTTGATTCCCTTCCCCTCCATTAACAACTTCTGGCTTCCCTTCTTAAATTTTCCTTTCTCTGAGCTACCTTTGAAGATTCTTAATTTTGTAAAAATTGAAAATACCTCATACACTCATGGTTAAGTCATAACCTTAGTTGAGGTTTGTTGGTTTCACTCGTAGAGTTACTTACGGTAAAGTTTAAAAGCCAGATATATTGGCTGTTTGCCCTGGCTAAACTAGAGTAATGAGAAATTAAAAGAACATTTTTGTGAGTGCTGTGGTTAAAAGTCAGTTTAATTAAAGCTGACTTGGATACATATATCCAAGCTATATGTATATTTAAATGGCCTTTATGGGTTTTTATTCCCTTCTTGGATCTTATTTTTCTGAAGAAAATAGGTTTGTTTGTTTTTTCTTCTCAGTCAACTGAATTGTTTTTCTCCATTTTGTCTTCTTGCCACACTTAATGCACACATGAGAAGACCTAAGATAACTTCCAATAGTCTGGGACTCCTTAGGAAAAACAGAGGAAGTGCCATAGACCCGGTTTTGGGAAAAAAACTCGATTTTCCTCATGAAACCCCAGGAATTGAAAGTAAATAGATTTTGCATTGTGTTATCTGAAGGTTTTCAGTTTTGGGGGTATCAAAAATTACTTGCATTATAAGAGAACTTTCGTGTGTAATAACTAGGTAGGAAATATACTTTTAGAGATGGTTAATGGCAGTTATGGGGGGATACTAACCATGCTTGAATCAGAGAAGCATGCTCTTGGCCACCTAGAAGGTACGGAAAAATCCCCACCCCCTACTAGGAGTCAAATTAATTGACTCTCACGGGGGACAGGCTGATTGCAAAATGGGCTGATTGGCTTTGGGTTGCCATGCAATTAAATGCATGGTAAAAGCATTGCACTGTCTTCTATAGCATTTTCCTCTTTTTAGGGATCTGGGATGTAATATAAAAATGGGACCCTTAATTTTGGAGATCTGTTTTTGTCATTCAGTTGTGCCTCCTTATTAGGTCCTAGAAACCGCATCCTTTCCTGGCCCTGCTCCTTGAAGGACCCCACCCTGAAGCCAGTAATCTAATTAAGAAACTTAAAAACTGGCAAATGAAAAATCTTACAACTAGTGGATCTTTTTCTATCTGTGTAGTTATATATGTGTCGTGTGTGTGATGTTTATATAAATGAACTCTAAGTAACTGGCTTAAAGAAAAATAAGGCTTAAATAAAATATTTTGAAAGAAAAAACTGTAATGCCTTGTAGTTCACGTGACTTTAGTAATCTCTGAGAAATAAAAACAGTTTTAAAGATTACTGGTAAAATAAAGACATTTGGTCTAAATTAGGTAGGTCAGGCTGGGTGCAGTGGCTCATGCTCATAATCACAGCACTTTGGGAAGCCAAGGCAGGCAGATCCCTGGAGTCAGGAGTTCAAGACCAGCCTGGCCAACGCGGTAAAGCCCCATCTCTACTAAAAATACAAAAATTAGCCGGACATGGTGGCACATGCTTGTAATCCCACCTACTCAGGAGGCTGAGGCAGGAGAATTGCTTGAGCCCGGGAGGTGGAGGTTGCAGTGAGCCAGGATCGCAACACTGCACTCCAGCCTGGGCGGCAGAGCAAGACTCCATCTCAAAAAAAATAATAATAAAATAAAATAAGTAAATAAATTAGGTAGGTCAGATATTAGGTTTACTAAATGCTTTAAGGTCATAAACTGCTTCTTTGGCTTTTGAAAATTGTTCAACTTGCCTGCTTAACAGCTAGGTCAGACCTAAGGACATGTGGAATTAACCACTCCCCTAGCTATGCTGAAAAGGGTCAGACCTTATCTGTACTTCTGTCTGGTGTCCTAGGCTCCAAACCTAGTACGTAATTAAAATCACTTACTTAACAGGGTTTTCACCAAAAATTAATATTGCTAAGAATTAACATTGTAACATGTAATTAAGACTACTAAAAAAAGTTGTACATGCAAAGTGTATGAGGAAAGCAAAATGTGCTTTTACTAAAAGATTATAACAAGGCATGGAAATGTAAATTTTTGCCTAGTTTAGAGGGTTAAAGTATTGTTTTAAATTAGGATAAAGCTAAAGGTTTGAACAAGTTGTGAAACAGTTGTGAAAAATTAATTGTAACAGAGATTCTATGTATGAACATATTGGCTAAATTTAAAGGGGTATTACTCAGTTTTTTCTGTAAATTGAACATTGGAATAAAACCACAACAGTTTCCTTAGAGCACTGATCTGCTCTTTAACAAAAATGGTAAAGGGTTATAAAAAAGACTTATGAGAATCTTATCTTATAGTCAGACATTAAAATTGAACATATTTGTCTATAAGGTTTTATTAAGAATGGGGTTTGACATCAATAATGCACTAATGCAATGCTAAAATTGGCTTTCTCTCTTGAACAAGATTTTTATGCTATATTTTTAAAAATGAAACATTTTTGTTTGCCTTTTGAATAAACTACCAAAAAAAGAAGGGAAAGACGAGACAGATTGTTTGGAAAGCTAAGTCTTCCCTCCATCAATGAGTAAAGGTTTATGCCTTTTATATTTTTGAGTCATCATTTTGGCTAAATGAATGACTTATGTTGACCTGGGATTCTATTTCATAATATTAAGTGTTTTAAACCTTAATAACATATTTGATAAGCTTCCCAAAATCAAATTTCAGCTTCAAAATTGTCTTTTCTGACCTCTAACTTTGAGGTGCTACAGAGGGCCCCTGAAGCATCCAAAAGAGAGGTTAACAGGATTATTTGACATGTTAAGTTACATGAGAAGCATTGTCAAAATAAAAACTAATGTTTAACCTTCTTCAGGCTATATTTTAGTGAATGATATTAATATATGTTCCAAAATTATATGGGGTTTCTAAAATTCTAATATGTCTGAGTATATGCTATCAATCATAGTTATTATGTTAAGTTATTGTAAACCACAGAAATAACCAAATTTTCTTGTCAATTCTGTTTTTAACTACGCCTATTTAAAGTCATTTCCACAGTTATTTGCTTACTGCTGATGCTGTAAGATCTTGGTGTGTGTGTATATGTGTTTAGATGTGTTTACACATATGTACATGTATTGTGTTTTATGTTGTGTCTACATGGCAAAATCTGGCATAGCTGGCCAAAAATTCCTTAAAGAATTCTATTTAGATAAATGAGCACTCATATAAAATATACAGCAATGAACAAAAATTTTTTTCGTTCACATGACTTAAGTAAATATTGGATATATTAATTGGCTTCAAAATTGTTGATAACATAAAATTAGAAATGTCCCAAAATTGTCAACATATATTTTTTGCCTGGGTGAACTGATTAGACAGTTTATTTGCTTCTGTTAGATCCTTTAAGGTTATAAAGCTGTGAACCCAGCCTAAAACAGAATGATTTTTGTGCAATTCTTTGATAAGTAAGATTATTTTAATATTGTTGATTCAATAAAAACAGCTATAGCTTGTGAGTTATCAACCAAATACCCATTTATTTAACTTTAAGGCTCTTACTTAGGTAAACACTTGATATTAACAGGCTACCAAGTTGGCTAATAAAAGAACTTAATGACTAGCTCTAATACCTCAATTTTCATAGTAAACTCTAGATATAGTTGTTAAAAAAAATTAGATGATTATACATATAAACTCTAGATATAATTGTTAAAAAGATTAGGTGACTATAAATAGAATAAACATTTATAAATAAACTTTTCATGTAATCTAAAATCTTAAAGTTATGGTAAATTAAATAATAGGTACTCATTAAATGTCCGGTTCATATCCAAATAAGAAAAAACCAACAAATTGCTAAATAAATACAAGTTTGTTCTTGGCTTCTTCAATTTTATAATAATACTAAATATATTTAGGTTTATTAATCAAAATATAAGTAATATGAAAAAAATAATTTATTTGAGAAAGACTCTTATGTGGTAAATTGTTGTCCTAAAGCAAAACGACTAGTTATTTAAGAAACAGGACGTATAGAAAAAAGCAAAAAAAACAAGTATGTCAACTATGGTCCAAGTAAGTCATAAAAAGGTTCATAAAGGGGGAAGTTATGAAATAAATTTTGTGTATGATCAAGTTGTTTATAATTAGAAGGGAATTATTTATAAATGTTTCTAAAGATTAAAATTTGATACTAAAAATACACTAATACTAAACCAAAAAAATGTGGCCCCCTATTTAGAACAACAAAGTTTTTTTGAAGTATTGGTCTGCTCTTAATAAAATTGCAAAAGGGTTTTATTTTTAATTCTAAAATCTGTTTTTTTTAACAACAATCTTCTAAACTGCAGCCAGTGTCAGTATCTGCCACATTTCCTGAGATCTAATTAATTTCCCTAGTTTTGGCTTAAAAATATGGTCCTCTTTATTTACAATGGTAATTCATTCCTTGAGGTAAAGTTTTCCTTTTGAAATTTCTCAAATTTTTGTCTCAGAAGTTCAACTTCTGCTGTACCTTGCAGCACATGACTTGCAGCAAAAGATCCTTGCCTTCTGAACTTTCTCCCCTTGAAAAGGTGTATTTTTTGCTTGGCTGGGGTGATAATTCTCTCCTTCAACCTTTTTTGTCAACTCTTACATCTTTTTTTTTTCCCGCCAGTTCTACCTCTGCTATTATGGTCTGATGCTGAAGTGTTTCTCTTAAAAGCCTAGAAAAGCAATGTTTTCCTCCAATATAATTTGATTCTATACTCTTGGCTTTTCTCAATATGTCTGAATTGTACCATTGTAACCAGGAAGCTTTTCCATGCTGTTACTAAGAGCCATGTATTTTCTTTCTCAAGGTACTAGTTTTCTTGTTTACATTCTTCTATAATATAGTGTATACTCACAATCTTGGACATATTCTTCCTGTGTGGGATTAAAATCAAGTATATTTTTCATTAGGTTCAACTTACAGGTTATATTAGTGAGATTCTGGTAAGGAGAAACAGTCATTCTGCAGATTTTCTTTTTAACTTTTTGGTTACTGAGCCAAAAAAAAAAAAAAACCATTTTATCAAGATAATTTATTGTGTTGTCTTTATTAGGTTTTTGATTACTTAGAAAAACTGATATTGAAAAAGGTTAAGGTGTTTACATCCATGTAACTTTCTATATTGCTTCTGAAACCTCGACTATCACTTTAGTTAAGTGAATGACTATTATTTTTCAGTGATCTGTGATTCTGTTTCAATCAAATATTTTAAGTTTTTTACATCATTGACAAACTTCCCCAAAATCAAATCCTAACCTAAGTCTTCATGACCTAGAATTAACCTTGGGATTTTTCTAATTTGGTCCCTGGAAAGTCTCAAGAGATATACCTCTCATCTTGTAGATGGGGATATTAAATGATTACTGTTATTTGGTAAATCATACAAAAAACATTGTCAAATGATAAGTGATACTAGATCTTCTTTTAGTTGCATTTATTGGTATGTTGTTGATATGAAAGTTCTGAAAATTCTGTAAATTTATAAAAATATCAGATGAGAAAAAAAGAAAAAAGTATAAACAAATTTATAGAAATATGTCTTAGTCATAATTCTGGTTATCTTAAAATGCTATATATAATAGAAATAACGAAATTTCCTTGTTGATTATAAACTTTCGTCAGATTTTTAACTATGGCTATTCTAAGTTTTTGTCATCCACAGTTTTGAATTCTTCTCTAAAAACATTTACAATCAGATTAATGGAAAAGATTCTAATAAATACTCTTAAATACAGGTTTCTGTTAACTTTAAGATCAATAGACTAAATAAAAATGTCCAGATCTCTACTAAATAAATTGATGGGTTCATGAAACTAGTAATCAAGATCAATCAGGACAAAAATTAATTACATGAATTAAGTAATTGATAAAGATATTTTTGGCCAGGCATGGTGGCTCACGCCCAGCACTTTGGGAGGCCGAGATGGGTGGATCACGACGTCAGGAGATCAAGACCATCCTGGCTAACACAGTGAAACCCCATCTCTACTAAAAATACAAAAAATTAGCCAGGCATGGTGGTGGGCACCTGTAGTCCCACCTATTTGGGAGGCTGAGGCAGGAGAATGGTGTGAACCCAGGAGGCGGAGCTTGCAGTGAGCTGAGATCGTGCCACTGCACTCCGGCCTGGACAACAGAGGAACACTGGTGGTGAGCACCTGTAATTCCAGTTACTCAGGAGGCTGAGGCAGGAGAATAGTTTGAACCCAGGAGGCGGAGGTTATAATGAGCTGAGATCATGCCACTGCACTTCAGCCTGGGTGACCAAACGAGACTCTATCTCAAAAAAAAATAATATTTTTATAACTTTTATTTAAAACATTGTTGATTCTTGTCTTAAATATTTTGTTCTCCAGATTTAAGGAAAAAATTTCTCTTTATCTATAATTTACAGCAATTTGATAAAGTATACTTTTTTAAACAAAGATAAAAGCATTTGGTGTTTTCTCCTTACTTGATTCTTCCAGAATTCAAAAACTATTTGTGAGTATTCTTATGGCAATATGATTATTTGCCTAAGTGCAATGAAAATCCATTCTCTTCAGCGGGGCACAATGGCTCGTGCCTGTAATCCCAGCACTTTGGGAGGCCAAGGCGGGCGGATCACCTGAGGTCAGGAGCTCAAGACCCACCTGGCCAACATGGCAAAACTCCATCTATACTAAAAAAAAATACAAAAATTAGCTGATCATTGTGGTTCACACTTGTAATCCCAGCTACTCGGGAGGCTGAGGCACAGGAATTGATTGAACCTGAGAGGCAGAGATTGCAGTGAGCCAAGATCATGCCACTGCATTCCTGGGAGAGTGAGCCTGGGAGACAGAGCGAGACCACATCTAAAAAAAAAAAAAAAAAAAAAAAAAAAAAAATCCATTCTCTTTCTATAGCAGAATATAATTGATTATATTACCAAGGCTTTGACTAAAATGTCATATTTGAAGAATGCACAAAATGCCTGACTTCAAGGGTTACCAGCCTTACAATGAGTACATTAAAATTGTCATTTCCTGGCACAGGAACCTTAAAACTGTAAGCAAAATCTAAAGTCTGCCTCAGTTTGGCTTCCCAGTCTCAAAGTTTTAAATCTGAGGTTCTTACGTGATCAATGTTAAAAATTTTAAAACCTGTGTTTCTAAAGTTATAATATGCCTCTTAATAAATGATAACTCTACATTGTGTTTGAGTTCTTGCTATTTACCTATAGACTAGTATAGACCTAAATTCTTCTGGGTTCCTCTAATCCAACTTTCCCTCATAAAATTACCAAAACATGAACTGTTCTATTTCTAAAGCTGAAAGTAGACAAATTTTAAGGAACATGTCTCATGACTGATGTATGTGCCACACAGAAAGTTCACCAAAAGGCCTGATGCCATAACCAGAGGCATTCAAACTGCACACCAGAATGAGAAATTGATGTTTTTCATGGGATAGACAGCTTTTCCCAAGACAGTATGGTTGATCAGCAATGGTTTTGGAGAAAGATCTTGATCAAAAGGGAGCCATAAGAAAGAAGATTATGCAAATTGGGCCATTCCTATTACACCTGACTAAATCCAAATTGAAGGGCCCGGCGGGGAAAATTACTTGAGGCACATAGCACCTGCTCCAAGAATTACATTTTTCACAAGCTCAACTGCTGAAGCTTCCTGTTGTAACCTGAAACCAGTTTTATCTAACAGCTACTAAAACAATCTGCTGTGACTCTACCCACCACCATCCCTCACTAGTCAGAGCCACCAGCTCTCCAAAACTTTACTAATGCAAAATAACTTTCTTTCAAATGATACATAACATTTATCCTTTTTGTAAAACCTCCCATCTTTTCTTTGTTCTTTGAACAGACCTAAGACTACCCACTCTGTGTGTATGCCCCAATTTGCAATTCTTGCTTCCAAATAAAATGTTTTAAATTTAGACATTCATCTCTAATCTTTTATTTTATCTTTTATTTGACATTGACAAGCTCAAAGCTCCCTCCATTCCATTTCTCTGACATCTCTAGTGTGCCATCCTCACCTGCTTGCAGAGCTGGCTATAGGCAGTGGGAAGCAGGACAGCAGGGAGAAGGCACGCCCTTAGTTCATCAGCAGCACACAGACCCCCCACTCACATTCATTGGACAGAATTTAGCCACGTGGCCATATCAACCTGCATGTAGTCCAGCCTTGTACTCTGAAAGAAGAGGAAACTGGAATCTGGTAGACCACTAGCAGCCTTTCTATCTTTTTGCACTGAATTCTGGAGTATCCCTTGCCTTGTTCTTCTACATCACTAATTCTCTATGTATGTTATCATGATACTAATCCTAATCATTAAGTTATTTAGTTTATTTTGACAATCATATCTTTCATTGCCAAGATCTAATTATTTCATTTCTATAATCACTTGTTCTTGATATACTTTCATTCCTCTTGAGATATTTCCTTCTTCTAAAATCTCTTCTTCAGGCTGGGCACAGTGGATCACGCCTGTAATCCCAGCACTTTGGGAGGCCGAGTCAGGCAGATCACTTGAGATCAGGAGTTTGAGACCAGCCTGGCCAACATGGTGAAACCCCGTCTCTACTGCAAATACAAAAATTAGCCGGGCATGGTGGTGCTGCGCCTATAATCCCAGCTACTCGGGAGGCTGAGGTAGGACAATCGCTTGAACCCGGGAGACAGAGGTTGCAGTGAGCCGAGATCGCGCCACTGAACTCCAGCCTGGGCGCCAGAGAGAGATTTCATCTCAAAAAGTAAAAATAAATAAATAAATAAATAAATAAATAAATAAAATCTCTTCATTCAATTAACTCTATTTCCTTGGTGCTGGTATTCAATTGTGACTTTTTTCACAATTGTTTATGTCTTGTTTGAATACCTGTCTTTGACCTAAGGTTCTCTGAGATCCTTCAGTGAGCATTATCTTTGTTACCTGCAAGCAGTGAAGGCTGTCTCCAGGGCTGGGGAGGTGGAGAGAATTCTACTGGGCTGAGTGTGCCAGTAGTTAGTGTTCTATGCATGGGAGGTCCCCAGTGCTTCTGGGGCTACCTTCACACTCCTACTCAAGTGCCCGCTCCCAAAGTTGCCTGCTGCTGGGTGAAGGAGGACAGAGCCAACAATCTCAACTCTGGTTCCTGTCAATGAAAGAAAAAAATCAGGCTTTTCGATAATTAAAGTTAGTTTTATTCAGAAGTCTCACTGAGGATTGCAACCCAGGAGAGCCTTTCACAGAACTTCTGCTAGACTGCTCCAAAGCAATGTGGCAGCCCACAGCTTCTATACTGGCGGTGGAGGTTTTGCATGTGCTCAGAAGTTACATTAGAGCAGAATCTCCTCAATGTTTGGGTGCACCTGGTTATAGATTATAGAAGCATAATCTCTAATCCTCTTGAACATTGTCTTATGTACAAGAAGAGGCAAAAGCTAGGATCATTGAACTTATCTTTTTCTTAAAATGTAGTGATTTAGGCAAGAGAGATGGCAGCCTGTGCTCTATCCTGCTTATCATCTTCAGGGCATTCTTCTGGAGGGCTGCACTCAGCCACTGAGTCAGGGGCTTCGTAAAATTCTGCTGGCAAGGAGAATGAACAAATGTGGCTTCGTATGTGTAGTATTTTGTCTCATATTCCCAAGAGGTTTGCCTGCTGTGGCTCCAGGGCCCTCTGCTCCTTCTACGTGCCTCTTCCCTGCTGGAAGCACTCCATAAGCCCCCCACACTTTCTCACTGGTCCTCCACTGCACACAGTGTGGGTTATAGTTTCCTCTGCTCACCAAATCCCTTCTTTCATCCTTCGAGGAGTCCTTGTATTTTCTGGACCATTAAGAGTAATGTGACAGGATTCTGGGGATGCAGGGAAAGAGACGAGTCATGAGTCCGGGATGCCTCTCAAGTCCATCTCACCGCCACCCCATAATATTGTTCAGAACAACATTCCTACTTCCAGCCAGAAGCCATGGCAAATATTTGGTGCAATTTTGAGAAGGAATCAGAGGCAAAGAAAACAGCTCCTTGGTGTCAGCTCCACTATGACTGCTGGTCAATGCATAGCAATTGGCAGAAGCACACCTTCTGTGAGGTTAAAGCTAAGGTGGGCAAGTGTGCCATCAGAAGGACATTGTAACACTGTGCCTTTATCCAAGAGTGATAGTGCCTCCCCTCTTAGAGAGAGCATCAGAAAAACAATTTAGAAATGTGTAACGCTGGCAATTCCAGTCTCCAGGCCTATTCGGAGGCTCCTTCTTCCCCTCACTGTTCACTCCTTGTGCTAGGATCTCTGTATTTCCCTTCCAATGCCTTTAGGTCTGGTTTCTGGCACTCCAGTCCTAGATTGAGCACAGGATGGGTCTAAGGAGCACCTTTGCTATCACACAGGGCATGGAAACCCGTTTCTTGGGGTGTCCCTCCAAGCACTCCTGGTTCTCCCCGGTCGCACCATCTCCTCCCCAATGGCCGGTGCTCCCCAGTCACATTGTCTTCTCCCCGCAGTCCTCCGTCCCCAGGAGCATCCCGGGGCTTCCAAATGCCAATTTCACGTGCAGGTACTGTACTCACTTATCTTGCTGACTATGCCAAATTAAGTGTGTGTGTGTTTATGTGATATATCATGTGGGGTATGTGTGTGGCACATGTGAGTATGGTGTATGTGCGGTGTGTATGTGGTATATTGTGTGGATGTGTGCGTGTTGTGTGGTATGTGTGACGTATTATGTAGAGTGTGTGTGGTATGTGTGGTGTGTGAGGTGTGTAGTGCGTGCTGTGTTATGTGGTGTGTGTGATGTGTGTATGCTGTGTGTGTATTTTGTGTGTGTGTTGTATTGTGTAGGGTATGTGAGTGGCATGTGTTTCACGTGTGGTGTACTGTTTGGGGTGTGTGTATGCTGTGTGTTATGTGTATGTGGTGTGTGTGTGGTGTGCTGTGATGTGTGGTGTGTATATGTGGTGTGTTTGTGCTGTATTGTGTGGTATGTGTATAGGGTGTACTGTATGGGGTGTTAGTATGTGTGTCTGTATGTGATGTGTGTGGTGTGTGGGGGGTGTATTCTGTGGTGTGTGTGGTGTGTGTAGTGTGTGGTGTGTGTAGTGTGTGTGTGTGGTGCAGTGTGTGTGGTGCATTGTGTGATGTGCATGTGTGGTGTGTGAGGGGGGTATATTCTGTGGTGTGTGTGTGGTGTATATGGTGTGTGTGGCGTGTGTAGTGTGTGTGTGGTCCAGTGTGTGGTGCAGTGTTTGGCATGTGTGTGGTGTGTGTGTGGTGTATTCTGTGGTGTGTGATGTGTGTGGTGAAATGGGTGGTGTGTGTGTGTGGTGTGTGGCGTCTGTGTGTGATGTGTGTTCTGTGTGTGTGTTTGAGTGGAGAGATCCTTCAACCTGAAGGATCCTGAGCCTTTCTCTTCAGGACAGGTGAGGACACCTTAGCTGGTGGCTGTGTTTCCTGCCCTGGGGAGTCAGCCGAGCGGAGCCCCACCATGGCTAGGTGTTACATATGTTCAGTATCACCTCTGACTTCAAAAAAGCGAGCACCCCCATTTCCAGGAATCGCCTGGGAACCGTTTCAAAGGAGTCATGCCAGCCAGGACAGAGAGCTGGGAAGCGGGACCACAGGAGCAACTCTGAACAGTCATTGGATGCGCTCTCCAACCAGCTGCTCTGCTCACCTCAAAGCACACACCAAAGAGAGGGAGAGGCTCTGAGCCCATGCGGGTGAATCAGGGTGAGCCACGCAAATCTGCTGGCCCCTGGCAGTCATGGCAGATGCTGCCAGGAGGCCTCCCTCATTACTCGGAGTAGGCTTGAAGTCATGCTTTCCAGTGTGAGGTGCGCGAGCCAAGCAAAGGAGGAGGCCTGGTCAGGAGGGGGGAGTTCCCTGTGACAATGGAATGAAAAGGCTGCTGCAGGGCCCAGCTGGCCCTGGGCACGGTGTGGGGAGGGGAATCCGCAAACCAGGCAGAGCCCTCCAGCCCAGGGCGTTAGTTGTTGACCCATCTTTCCTCCCCACCACCAGACTGGGAGTCCTCATCCTTTGCGCTTTGCAGTTTAGGAAGCAATCTCTGAAGAGCACAAACCTATTTAACAATGATAAAACTTCGGCTTTAAAGGGCTGATGTGGCACACTGGCACTAGAGCCAGGACACATGAGGGAGATCTCTCTTCTCCCGCTCAGCAGCTGGCCTCCCTTCTGAGGGCCCACCTCGGACTGACTGGAGGACACCACTTGGAATGGCAAAGATGGGGGCAATGCAAAGGCCACAAGGATGGCTTCATAGACAGGATGTGGACTTGGCATTGGGCAGACCTGGATTTAAATTCCAGCTCTGCCTCAGTCTGTTTTCCATTAAATGAAGATACTTGTGCAAGGGTTCTGTGAGAATTCCAGTGGCTGAAGTGTGAAGCATTCCCCACTCAGGGTTGCACAGCTGGGACTGGGTGAACACTGTTAGTACCCTCACCCTGTGTGCTGCAGCTGCATCAGGGCCAGCTGCCCTTCTCACAAGCACCTATGCACAGATAGCCCCCATTTCACCCCAAAGGACAACTATTCAGAGAATTACCATCCATCAAGCCAGGGCACTCCAATCAGAGGAAGGTGTCACTTCCTGGTAGGACAACTAGAAGGGCAGGAGCTATTCACTGAGCATAAGAGGAAGGCATGGTACAGGTGGGGCATTTGTGGAGAGCAAGACAGGGAGCAGAGAAGTTTCTGGCAACATGCTGCTCCCAGAGGAATAGGGCTGCCACACCTGGTACCAGGAAACTGGGGAATGGCCACAGCTCAGCTCTGCCACTCAAGAACCCCACTTGCCACCTGCATAGGAAAAGACAACATTGTGGCCACAGAAGGGTGAGGGGCCCCACAGAACTGGGGATGCCAGGACACTTGGTCCATGGGAAGCTGCCTTTTGCTCTGGCCTGTGCCTGGAAGCAAAACCATCATCCATAACTCCATCTAAGGATTCTTAGAGCAGATACTAGCTGGACCACAAGGGGCAGCCCAAACCTTTCTGTTCCATCCCATGGCCTGGCCCTTGCTGGCCCACAGCTCACAGAATCTGCTGGGGCTCCCCAGCTCAGGCAGTACAATACTCTGTTGACCATACGCTGACAGGTCGGGCACTGCTCTTCCTAGTTGGACCTGATACTAGTCATGATTCACTCACCTATGCAGAAGCCTGTGCATGCAACAAGGCTTAGCCCTTCTCCCATGGAGATGAACCTTCTGTTCCTCCCTCCTGCTTTCACCACCCCCACCCTACCCAAAGAAGAGGAAGAAAACAGAGTAGCTTTGGCAACCTTTTCTACCCCTCTCCCAGGCAAGAAAAGCAGAAGAACAACCTGAAGAACCAGGCTTCTCTCCTATATCCTCCATCTCGCCTTCAGCCTGCATCCCTTCTTACTACCCTCTCTCCATTATAATTTGCTCTCTGTACATTTTAAATCAATCAAATTAGCAAAATAAATCATGAAAACCCTATACATTTATAAACATAGTAATATGTGATGCTCATAAGATGCAAGGAGATGGGTACTTTCATAGTGTTGATAGTAGGAATATAAACTGAAAATGCTTTTTTTGGTAAGGCAATTTAGCCATTTATATCAAAACATTAAAAATGTTCATCCCTCAGACCCAGGCATTCAGTCTCAGCAATGTATCCTAGAGAAATCTAAAATACAAAAGTCACAAAGCTCAATGCAAGAAAATGTTATCATCTTGCTAATTACAAAAGTGGAAAATTGAAAACAATTTCAATTTACAATATATGGAACTGGTTAAGTAAATATAGCAATGGGATACAACATTGGACAGGCTCTAAAACAGTGTTTAACCAGAATTATTAAACATTCATTTTGTAGTATGAAGTGACTATAGCAATGTAATACAACATTGGGTAGACTCTAACATGGTGTTTATTCAGAATTTGTTTTGTTTTGTTTTGAGACAGGGTCTCACTCTGTTGCCCAGGCTAGAGTGCCATGGCATGATCATGGCTCACTGCAGCCTTGACTTCCCCAGGCTCAGGCAATCCTCCTGCCTCAGTCTTCTGAGTAGCTGGGACTGCAGGCATGCACCACCAATCCTGTCTGTTTTTTTTTTTTTTTTTTTTCTATTTATTTGTAGAGATGGGATTTCACCATGTTTCTCAGGCTGGTCTTGAACTCCTGAGTTCAAGTGACCCGCCTGCTTTGGCCTCCCAAAGTGCTGACATTACTGGCATGAGCCACTGTGCCTGGCCTATTCAAAATTCTAAATGTTTACTTTGTAGTGTAAAATACATGTGGTAAATTTATTTTAATATGGATCCTATAAAATTTCATATACAGTATCAATCTCAAAGACATTTAAAGGTTTTTTTTTCAAATAATAGGAAATTGAATGAAAAGGAATAAAGCAAAATGTTGACTGGTTGTCATCAAGTAATAACTGTGTATTATTTATTTTCATTCATATATTCCTAAATTTTCTAAAAGGTTTATACTGTTTTGAATTTTTTTTAATCTTTAAGGAAATCAACTTTTATAGCTTAGAGTGGGTAAATTTTAATTAATATGTTCCTTTTGTCAGGAATATTTGCAATCTAAACACACTTTAAACTTTGGCTTTTCTCTTGTACCACCCTGTTGCCATTTACCAAACTATAGTATTCACAGCCTATATGTTTATTATTGCTTCAGTCCTCATTGATTGTATCCTATGGACTATGCACCTATTTAATCCTCATACAGAGTATACTCTGTAAAGTATGCTGTCTGACACTGAAAGTCAGAAAGTTTGAGTTGCTTGCTCAGGATACCAAAGGTCATCAGCAGAGGCTGCTTGATACTGTCAGTACTTTTCAGATAGTCACTCTATCAGGGCTTTAGTCCACAGTGCTCCTGTGGATGCTAACCCTACCTGGGATTGCTCTCCTTTTCCTTGAGCCCTCCTGTCTTAGGCTGTTTTGTGTTGCTATAACAGAATACCATACCCTGGGTAATTTATAAAGAGAAGAAATTTATTTGGCTCACAATTATGGAGGCTGTGAAGTCCAAGAGCATGGCACCAGCATCTCTGCTTTCATGTTGCATCATCCCATGATAGAAGGTGGAAGGGCAAGCAAGCACATGAAACAGAGAAGGGAGGGGGCCGAACTTGATCCTTTTATCAGAAACCCACTCCTACAATAACAGCATTAATCCATTCATGCAGGCAGAGCCCTCATGAGCTAATCACCCCTCAAAGCACCCTCCTCTTAATATCATCGCAATGGCAATTAAATTACAACATGAGTTTTGGAGGCAATGCTCAAGCCATAGCACTTCTCAAGAAGGGCACCAGCAGAATATGCTTGTGATCGCTCTGAATCTCCATCAGGTCATAGCATGGAATGAAGGTATCTGGTTTACTCAAGCATCCCTCCCACGGCCTGAGGTCCCAAGATTGGATTTTCTGTTCCCATCATTGGAAAGCAGAGGAATCCTTGTGGAAGTGCATCTGCCTTCACAGGACCACACCAGGAGCAGGAATTGTAAAATCCACCTCTGCTCTCCCAAGAGAGAAGGAGAGGGAGGGAAGGAGCACATTTGGCAACTGAGAGCATGCAACAGAAACCATTCCTTGGAGATCCTATGGGGCAAGCAATGGAAGGGACACTAATTTCCATCTGGAAAAGATATGGCCAGAGCTCTGACTTCAAACTCTGGAAGGAAGGTGGGGGCTGACCCCTATTGAGGATCTTCTGGGCACCAGATGCTGGACTGGGTATTTAATTCTAGTCAATTTATTGAGGGAATGAGACTCCAAAAGGTGAAATACCTTACCCACAGTCATGCAGCTGGTAGGTGACAGAGATGGAGCTGAACCCAGACTCTTCCTCTTATCCAGTCACATACCGAGACCCTGCATTGCCGTTGGAAGCTATTTGCCTTTCTTCTCAGCACTCTGGGTGTCGTTTGCGTGCTCTCTCTCTCTCTTTCTCTCAGTAACTTCAGACTAGAGAATGGGGTACCAAGGTCACTGATAAGGAAGCCCAGGGCCTGGGGGTAAATTTTAGTGAGTCGGCAGTCCTCAATACTCAGACAGATCATCTTCTTCATGATGATGAAGCACCATCAGGAGCTTACCATTTGGAGAGATAGGATGGCTTAACCCTGAATCTGTGCCTGACTGGGGTCTCATACCCTGGGGATTTTATAGTGTAAGCTCAGGAAAGGGATTCTGATGCCTGAGCAGAGAGAATGCCCTAATTAAGAATGACGGCCAGTTTGGACAATCTCCCTGAATCCCACCGACAAAAGAAACAATGGCTTCCCAATGACATGGGTCTCAAGATGGACTTGGGCAGAGCAGGAACATGCAGGGGGGTTGGTGGTCTTCCAGGAGGCAGGGATAAAGCCCCCAGCAGGAGGAAGGGCCCCCCAAGGCTCTCCTTCCTATCTCTATCTCTGGTCAGTATGAGACTGAGTCATTCACTTAGCTAAGGACCAGACAATTAAAGCACAGGAACAGATCCAAGCAGATGTATAAATCTATTATATGGTGAAGTCATACTATAGGTCAGTGAGGAAAGGATGAGTTCCTTAAAAAATATATTGACACATCTGGTTATCCATTTTTAAAGAAAATAAAGTTAAATTCCTATCACATACCATGTACAAAATTTCCAGATAGATTGAATAGCTAAATGTAAATAAATAAATAAATACACACACACACACACACACACACACACACACACATATATATTATATTATAAGAAAATGTTGTGTAACCTTACAATGAGGATTTCTACTTAAATAAAATAGGAAACCTAGGCGAGGTGTAATGGCTCATGCTTGTTATCCCAGCATCACTTGAGCTCACAAGTTTGAGACCAGTCTAGGCAACGTGGCAAAACTCCATCTCAAAAAAAAAAATTAGCCAGGCATGGTGGTGTGTGCCTGTAGTATCAGCTATTCGGGAGACTGAAGTGGGAGGATGGCTTGAGCCCAGGAAGTGGCGGTTGCAGTGAGCCAAGATCCCACCACTGCATTCCAGCCTGGGCAATAGAGCCAGACCTTGTCTCGAAAAACAAACAAACAAAACAAAACAAAACAAAACAAAAAACAGGAACTCTAGAGCCCATAAAGAGAAAAACTAACTTGATAAATTTGGTTACATAAACTTTTTAAACTCCTGATTTTGTAAGCCATTAAACAGTTTTTTACTAGACTAGAAGAAAATAATTGCAATACTTAAAATAGACAAAAGGTTTATATCCCTGATATGAAAAGTTTATGAAATTAATAATAAAAAGACGACTATAAAACAGATAAAGGACACAAAGGGCAATTAACAGAAGAGATTATACAAATGAACAATAGCATGTTACAAGACAACAGTGTTGGGATAATGCAAATTAAAATTCATCAGTTTAGCAAATGTTTAAAATGTTGGTACCAGTAGTCTAATTTTGATGACACTATAAATTGCTACAATGATTTTGAGAATTAACCTGACAGTTACTGCTGACATTTTAATCTGGATGCCCTTGGATGCCACTTCTGGAAAAGGCCAGGGATCATAATCAAAACATTAAGTTACTCTTACATCACAAGCATGCCCTGATCAGAACAGACACTGACCACAATAACCAACAAGACTGTAGCATACTTAAAAATAGATGTATACGAGTATGCTCCTTGTACAATTGTTTATGTTAGCAAACAAACAAGCAAACCTGGAAACAATCCAAAGTTTCATCTATAGGGAGAAGAATAACTAAATTATGAAGGATCATCAATCTGGAACCACTGCAGCTCTTTAAAAAAGAAAAAGAAGGTAAAACTACTATTATTGCCCTGGCAGGATATCCACTATAGCTGTAAAAAAAAAAAAAAAAAAAAAAAGTTTAGAAAATAAAAATAAACAAAGGAAGTAATTCAATTGTAGCTCTTCAAACTGAGATGGTAATAACAGCAATTACTTAAGTACAGTGTAATTATGTCTTCCTGGGGGTTGGTTACATCTTGGCAAAGTTTATCACAGCAAGAATTGGTTTTGGCTTCTGGGGTTGGAGCCTTAGATTGGAGATAGAAAAAAAACCTCAAAGGAAGCATTCCTGTCCAGAAGGTAAAGTGATTCCCACCCCCCTCTTCCCTGCTACAAAAGGTCATGGCTTTGGGGGGCACTGAGGTCTGGCATCAACCCTTAAGTTTATTTTTCCCATAAGGAAAAGCACAGGAGTCTCATGCTAGCACTTTAGAGAACCAAGCATGTGGATCTACAGTTCCAGGGAAGTCCCTGACTCGGGGACACCCTTCTCCTGAAATCCCCACACTCAGTCAGGGCCCTGTCATGTGTTCCCATGGCCCCCAGTTCTCTTCTTGGTGGCACATACCACACGGGTCATTTATGTTAGGATATGTACCTCTTTTTCCCTCCATGAGACTCTCAGGGGGTCACCATCATCCCCAGCACCTAGACAGTGCCCAGAGCTTTGCATATACAGGGTAAATATTTACCACGAATAAATGAAATTAGTAAGGGGCTACAAGAACCCAAGATGATTGAAGAGATATACCAAGAAATGATCAAATGACAGCCAGAGTGTCAGTCACTCAGCTGGTTCCAAATGCCTAATAAAAATTAACTCCCTCTGTCCTTACCACAGCCCTATGAGGTGGCCACACTTATTGTGCTCACTTTATGATGGGGAAACAGGAGCATAGAAGTTGGGCAACTTTCCAAAGTCACACCGTGAGCGATTCCACAACAAGGGGTTGAACCCAGGCTGTCTGGGTCCAGAGGTCTTGTTCTTAACCACAGTGGGCTGCTGCCTCTTCTCCCTAAGCTAGTGCATCCTGGAGGTCCTCAGAATGACTTGAACTGGCCAGAGGGTAAACGTCTGCTGAAGGAATGAATGGGCAATGAATTTCTAGGAACCTGGGGCCCTGGGGTCTGGGAAGGCCGTTGCCTCCCCAAGGGAATGACACAGGGCCAGTCTGCTCTCCTTCTGTGTGGGCCCCTGGACACTGGTCTGGCATTGTCCAGACACCAAAGCACATCCGCATAGCATGCATCAAACAAATGGTGACCTGCTAATGAGGAAATGGCTAAAACAGGAAGCCATGACCAGAGTACATGCTTCATGCCTCCAGCCCCGCATTGGGTAATGGAAGGGCAATTACTTCTCCACCTCTTCACCTATACAGGGCAGACTTGCCTAGAAGTTCAGAGTCCTTCCTGCCAATTTGGCATCCTTTCTTCCAGAGTGTTCCCAGGCTAGGTGGGGATGGGAAAAGCCACAAGGAGCACAGCAGGATGATAGAGATGTGGCCAATGGGCAATGCTGGCACTGCCACCCTGGCCAGAAGAGCTCACTGTGGGACACTTTCTCATTGTTTACTAGGGAAGAGGAGGTTGGTTTGGAATTCATTTTGATTTGTTGTTGTAAATTCTCTTTGCTGTCCCAATTTAAACAAAAAAGAAAATGGAGAAGGGGAGTTTTTAATCAAATGGATTTTCACTTGGGTTTTATCATGAACCTGGAACTGCTTTGAAAGCTGAAGCCAGCTGGGCTTCTGGGTCGGGTGGGGACTTGGAGAGCTTTTCTGTCTAGCTGGAGGATTGTAAATGCACCAATCAGTGCTCTGTGTCTAGCTAGAGGATTGTAAATGCATCAATCAGCATTCTGTAAAAATGGACCAATTGGCACTCTGTAAAATGGACCAATCAGCAGCACTCTGTAAAACGGACCAATCAGCAGGACATGGGCGGGGCCAAACAAGGGAATAAAAGCTGGCCACCTGCTCCAGCAGTGGCAACCAGTCCCTTTCTGCACTGTGGGTGTTTTGTTCTTTTGCTCTTCATAATGAATCTTGCTGCTGCTCAGTGTTTGGGTCCGCGCCACGTTTAAGAGCTGTAACACTCAAGGGGAGGGTCTGCATCTTCACTCCTGAAGTCAGGGAGACCATGAACGCACCTGAAGGAGCAAATTCCAGACGCCCACCTTTAAGAGCTGTAACACTCACTGTGAGGTCCACAGCTTCATTCTTGAAGTCACCAAGACCGAGAACCCACCAGAAGGAATAAATTCCTGACACAGCTTGATTTTGTCTTTGGTGAGAATTAAGAAGGGTCACATCCACTGATGACCAGTTGGGGGATAGATTTACACTGGCTATGCCCAGTGGTACTCAAAGAGCCACAATTACTCTCACTGTGGAGCTTCCTTCAGTGACACCAGAGACCAGGAAGGGAGCTACCTAGGAGACCTCAGCCTGTGGAAATCAAACTGTGGTGTGAGCCCTCCTGTTAGCGAGCAGTGGTGCTGGCTGCTTTCTCACACTGCCACTTGGCAACCAGAATACAGGGACTTCACCGTGAGTTTGAGCTAAAACTTGCCTGCTAGTGAATCTTAGCATAGGTAATTTTGGGTTAGGAGAATTTTGGTTTCTCTGATGACTTGGTTGACATCTTTGAGATTCAGCAAGCCCCAATTCAGATTAGACTTAAAACTTATCAGTGCAAGTCAGACAGCAGTGATTACTCTGCTTGTTGAGACCTAGGGACATCCGTTTGAATTCAGTCCGCACCCCATGGACGAGCCCAGCTCAATGCCAGGAAGTTTATGAATTCCTGGGGCCTTCTAGTCTCATGGTTACATCTGCTGCCAAAAACCAGATCCTATGAAGTTAGTTCAGTTTAGTGATCTTCTCACCAAGCTGCAGGGGCCATCCTGTTTTGTACCATGGTGATGAGGCACAGAGCACACCCTCTTTTTACCTTCAAAGAAAGAAGCCAGACATTGATACAGGTTACTGTGTATGCAGCAGACTATCCTGAAGGTTTAGGGAGACAGAGTATTGATATCTCAGATCTGCAAACAACAGAACAGCCCCTTGGGGATCACTATGATCCAGGCAGAAGGCAGAATTTGTTTTTTAATCAAATCACCAATTAATGACTGAAAACAGTATCTCCTGGAACAAGAAATTATTATTCCTCTAGGCTTGAAACAATATGAAACAGAGGAAAGTTATTTGCAAAAATTGGCTGAATGTGCAAATTATGCTTCCACGTGAATAGCAAAGTAATTAAAACCATTTTCAGAAAGTGAACTACTTTCTTAAAACAGCATGCCGAAAGTGGTCCAGAGTTCAAGATTTTGAAAACAAAAACAAAGTTGGTACTTGAATTCACAGATTGAAGCTAACTAGAAGTCAAAGAAAAGACACACTGGATTATGAGAAGGAGCAGGGATCACAGCCAGGTGCAGAACAAAGTCTGAGCGTGCCTGACCTTCCCTGGAGGTTCCGCCCATGTCACCTGCCCACTGGGTGTTTCCTGTTTTGACCATGCATTCCTTAGACCTTCTGTTGTTAAAATTTTTTCTCCTTGAGAACTTTAACTGGCCAGAAATTAGAATCCAATTTTGAAAATACCAAGCTACTTTCATTATGACACTGCAGTTAAGCAAATATTACCCAAATTTGGACAGCCTTGTCCAAATTTGTTTTATATTGTTTTATATTTAGCAATATAAAGCAAAGTGTCCCATTTAAAAATTGGTAAAACCTTATAATCAATATGCATTAAAAATTTTTAGTATCACATCATTATTAATGGCAAAAATTTCCATTTATAAATAACAGAACTTTTGTTGATTGTATTTATTCTTCCATCCTGGGATTTGGGGTTTTTTCAATTTTGTTTTTTAAGTTTGTTTTTAATTTTTTTTTTTTAATTCAGAAAGAGACCTTGTTGCCACCCTCTGCATACTCAGAAAGGAACCCCAGTCCGTGCAGAAAGGGGCCACGGACAGTGGCTGTCCACCCAGGATGGGCCCAAGAAAGGAGTCGATGTCCTGAAACAGTCCCTGCCCCTTTCCTGAGTGTTGGGGGATGGTGGGAACGACGACCATGTAGCTCCTAACAAAGGGCGTCTGCCTCTGGGGGTGTCCTGGGGCGTGGCTTACTGAGGGCTTACTGAATTTTAAAAATTCAGATTTCAGCCAGGCACGGTAGCTCACACCTGTAATCCCAGCACTTTGGGAGGCCAAGGTGGGCGGATCACCTGAGGTCAGGAGTTTGAAACCAGCCTGGTCAACATAGTGAAACCCCATCTCTACTAAAAATACAAAAAAATTAGTTGGGTGTGGTGGCATATAATTGCTGTAATCCCAGCTACTCGAGAGGCTGAGGCAGGAGAATCGCTTGAACCTGGGAGGCAGAGGTTGCAGTGAGCCGAGATTGCATCATTGCAGTTCAGCTGGGCGACAAGAGCAAGACTCTGTCTCAAAAAAAAAAAAAAAAAAAAAAAAAAATTCAGATGTCCAGCTTTTCATGAAAAAATCCAAAGTTCTGGTCACACGCTGGACAACAATAGCCATAGGTGAGCACCTGCTGCCCTGGGAACAGGCACGTGCCCTCCAGGTGGTGAATGACCCACTTCTCTCACCAGCTTCAATTGTGTCCATCTAGGACATTTGGAACTCTTCCAGGCTGCTGCACTCACCAATGGCACCTTCCTGGCCTCATGGGCATTTGAGTTTGTACTCCTGGCCAGGACCTAATGCTGCAGACCAGATAACTTCCTGGGTTCTTGCCCTAAAGGAGGAGCTGAAGCCATAAGCGCAGACCTCTAATGTGGCTCAGAGACACTGTGGAGAGAGGGCAGTCCAGGCCCAGGGTCTTGACGGTCCCGCCCCTGGACTTATTAGGCCCCCTCTGCATAGCTCATAGTGGCAGTGATACCAGACGTCACCTAAACCTTCCCACTCCTGCGGCACCCACTACCATTCAGCCTCAGGGCCATCCTAACCTTAACTCCAGGCTCCTCTCTCACATGGGACTATTCCAGCTCTGACTTTAGCTCCCATGAAGAACTGGCTCCCGAGTCCTGGCTCCCCATCCAGGACCCAGGTTCCAGTCCTCTCAATGGGCTCTCCCTGATAGAGGTCACCTTGGGTCTGGTGGCCTACCCCATTTCTTACAACATACACCCCACACCAGCCTTGGGCCAGCCACCTCCTTTGTGCCCCAGAATGGCTGTCAGGGAAGACCCTGCCTGTGTGCCCCAACCTGTGGGCAAGGCAAGGCCTAGGGCTCTGCCCACCAGGAATAACAGACCCAGCTAGGGAAAGGCAGGCTTTGAGATGCACGTGTGATGTTGACCCTCCCCCCGGGTCACCCCAATACCCGTCTGCCTGATTCTCTGTTGCCCCACAGGGTCCCAGAGAGTGCTGAGCTGCACATTTGACAGGCTATGTGCCCATGGGTCCAATGTGTCCATGGATGACCTGAATTCCAAGGCCATCAGGAAAAGCCTATTGTGTTGGGCCCCCAGGAAGCCAAGCCAGGCTGGCTACCCTGGGATCTTCAGAGGAGAGCAGCCTAGCTTGTACAGATCCCCTCCATGGGCCAGGCCCTAGAAATTTCACACAAAAAAATTATCCTTTTTTACAGCAACTCATGAGAGAGACCATGAGGATACCATTTTACAGATGAGAAAACTGAGAGTGAAGGAGGTGATGCAACCAATGAGTGACAGAACATGGACATGAAACATGTCTTGGCAACTCCAGTACCCAAGATTTCTCCATGTCAGCTGTCAGCCTGCCTGGCTCACAAAACCTTCATCCCCAGTGTAGAAAGGACTGATAGACAAGTTAGGGGCTTCTCTCTCACAGGGCCCTTGTGTGTGCCCACCCTTCACACACATACACCCATTCACACATACATACATACATCTGCACACACAAACACCTATGGGGTCCACACACATGCACACAAATACACACACAAACACCCTGCATATCCACACATACACACAGGCATATTCACACATATATACGTGCACCTGCATACAAACACACACATAGACACAAACACCCATAAATATCCACACACACACAAACATGCACATACACACAAATACTCATACACAAACACCCTACATGTTCACACATACAAACTCCTGCACTCACACAAACACCTTCCATATCCACACATCCATACATATATATTCACACACACACACACACGCATGCTCACACACACGAGCAGAGCACTGGACCAGGAGCAGGAGCTGGGACTCTCGTCCCAGATCTCCCATCACACTTCTCAAGCCTTGGCTTCCTCATCTGTGAGATGGGGTTGTGCCGCCTGCTTCCCAGAGTGTTGCACAAGCAAACATGCATGACAGCCCAGGAAGTGAGAAGGGTGTATAGGAGGAAAGGGTCCTGATTTTTGGCAGAAGTTGCCCAGGGAGTAGTGAGTGCTCCACACCTTTGTATGTGCTGTACCTTCTCTCTGGAGCTCTTTTCTCTTCTTCTCTGGCTGGTGAACTCATCCTCACCTTCCAGCTCCAACAACCACACTTTGTGTTCCTGATGTCTCCCTGTAGTGGAATTCCTCCACCATCCTCAGTGTCCCCAGCTCCTGTGTGAGACAGGACTTCCTACACTGGAGTGGGACACGTGAATGAGGCTGCATGGCTCTTCGGAGCCGGATGAGTCCCGACTTCTCCTGCCACAACCCAAGTCCCTTCACAGACCCACAGCACAGTCTCTCAGAGGTATCTTTTAAGGCCAGACCCTGGCCTTCCCTTTGACAGCACTGATGCAAAGCTCCTGATGTGACTAGGAGTTTAAGAACCCCCTAAGTGCCCCTAGCTGCCTGGTATAGACCTGCCAGCCTCTGCCCATCCTGCTTCATCTGCTCTGACCTTTTGCTCTCTGGTGGAGTCCTTGCCATGATGGCCTGGGCCCAGTCTGGTCTGGCCTAGGGAGGCGCTTTTCTGCCCAGGCATCAGGGCCTGTCCTCACGCAGAGTTCAGAACACACAGAGGCACCCCATCACTCTCGAGGTAGGCCTCACACCTCGCAAGTCAGCCTCAAAAAAGCAAGTATGAGGCAGGATCCCCTTTCTGGCTTTGGGTAGGGGCTGCAGTTCCTCTTGCCATGTGGAAGCTTCTTAAATATTGTACTACAATATTTAAAAATATTCCCTTTGTTCTACATACCATTAATAGATCAACTCTTCTACAGCTCTGCAATCACTTCTGACTTGGCAAAGCTGAGCCTGAGCTCAGGGAAGGGCTCTGGCTTCAGCCTTGTGAAGCAGAAAGATCGTGGACTCTCGCACAGGACCCCTGTTTACATTTCTCTCAAGCACAGCCTCACCTTCTCAGTCCTGCTCCAAAAACACCACACAACTTCCAGTTCTGAGAATGCACCCTGTTCTCTCAGCCCTGGGCTTTCCACATGCTAACCCCTTCTCAGAACCTCCCTTCCTTCACTTCGATACCTAACTGATTTCTATTCTCCTTCAAAACCCCATTCTAACATCACCTCTTCTGGGAAGCTTCTCTGACTTCTCTGAGGCCCTCCCAGGCTATCATTTCCTTCCTGATAATGGCTCCTTATAGCACTGGCCACTTATATGGAAGTGGTGCATTTGAGTCTCTCCCACTGCACCATGGGTTTTCAATGGAAGAGTGTGTGTATCATTCCTCTTTGTAATCCCAGCTCTGTCATCACAAGATGGAATTCAAGCATGTACCTGGTAGTTGATCAAGCTCTATATTCATAGAGCCCAAACCCAAACCTAAACCAAGAAGAAAGAAGAAAATAATAGAGGCTAGTCTAGAAATAACATAGACCAGGCTAATTCCTTAATAATAAAGACAATAGAGAAAATACTTCCCCAACCCTTGCTAATGCCAATGGGAAAAAAATAGAGAAATCTTTAAAAACCAAAATTGGTTATTTGAAAAGATTAACAAAATTGGCAAATCTTTAACTATACTGACCAGAAAAAAGAAAGATTAAAATCAGAAATGAAAAAGAAGATATTACCTCTAACCTTCAAAAATAAAAAATTATAAGTGAATGCTATGAACAATTATATGTCAATAAATTAAATGACTTAGATGAACTGGAGAAATTCCTAGAAAAACACAGAAACCAAACCTGACTAAAGAAGAAATAGAAAGTCTAAAGAAACCTTTAACAACTAAAGAGATGAAATTAGTAATCCAACACCTAACTGCAAAAAGAAAGCCAAGCCCCAATGGCTTCATTGGTGAAATTAAACATTTAAAGAATAATTTGCGTTTTAAAAATATTTGCATTTAAAGGAGCTTTTAAAGAAAAATTATTATCAATTCTTCACAAACTTGCAAAAAGTTAGGCATAAACACTTCCCAACTCATTCTATGGGGCCATTACTATTCTGATACTGAAATTAGACAAAGACATCACAAAAAAAGAACACTACTAATACCTCTTATGAATATGGATACAATAATAACAAAATACTAGCAAACTAAATTCAGCAACATATAAAAAGGATTATACACAATGATCAAGTGCAGTTTGTCCCAGGAATGCAGGGTTGGTTTAACATCCAAAAAATCATCAACGTAATACCATATTATTAATTGTTCTATTAATACTATATTAATAGAATAAAAGATCAAAACCTCATAATCATCTCAATAGATACAGAAAAAAATGACAAAATACAAAACTCCTTCATAGTAAAAACACTCAGAAAGAATAAAAGAGAATTTCCTCAACCTAATAAAGCGTATATACTAAAAAAGCAGCAACAACAAAAAAAACATAGATAACATCACATTTAATGGGAAAGACAACATGCTTTCCTTCTAAGATCACAAAAGAAACAAGGATGTCTACTCACCACTTCCATTCAACATCATACTGAAGGTTCCAACTATTGCAATTATATAAGGGAAAAAAAGGCACCCAGATAGGAAAGAAAGATGTAAAATGGTCTCAATTGGCAGATGACACGATTTTTCTATGTAGAAAATCCTAAGCAATTCACAAAAAAATTAAAATATGTAAATGAATTCAGCAAGATTTTAGCACATGAGATCAGTTTGCAAAAATCAATTCTGTTTCTATACACTGTCAATGAACAAGACAAAAATGAAATTAGAAAAATAATTCCATTTACAATAACATCAAAAAATACTTAGGAATAAAGATAACAAAAGAAATCCAAATGGTATATTCCAAAAAATATAAAACATTGTTGAAAGAGGTCTTAAAAGATCAAAATAAATGAAAATACATATCATGTTTTTGGACCAGAAGACTTATTGTTAAAGATAGAAATATCCCAGAGTTAATCTATAAGTTCAATGCAATCTCTATCAAAATCCCAGATGACTTCTTTGCAGAAATTGACAAGGCAATCCTCAAATTTATATGGAAAATCAAGGAATGCAGAATAGCCAAAATAATCTTGAAAAAAGAAAAACGAAGCTGGAGTACTCACGTTTTCCACATTCAAAACTTACTAGAAAGCTACAGTAATCTAAACAGTGTGATACTAGCATAAGAACAGATCAATAAAATAGAACTGAGAGTCCAGAAATAAATCCATGATCTATCTACATACATCTATTGTCAATTAACTTTTTTTTTGAGATGGAGGCTTGCTCTATGGCCCAGGCTGGAGTGCAGTGGTGCTATCTCAGCTCACTGCAACCTCCACCTCCCTGGCTCAAGCAATTCTCTTGCCTCAGCCTCCTAAGTAGCTGGAATTACAGACACACACCACCACACCTGGCTAATTTTTGTATTTTTAGTAGATACGGGGTTTTGCCATGTTGCCCAGCTGGTCTCAAACTCCTGAGCTAAAAGTGATCCGCCTGCCTTGGCCTCCCAAAATGCTGGGATTACATGCATGTGAGCCACCAGGCCCAACTGTATTGTCAATTAATTTTTAACAAGAGTGCCAAGACCATTCAATGGGGGAAATAATAATCAAATAATCTCTTCAACAAATGGTGCTGGAACAACTGGATATCCACATGCAAAAGAATGAAGTTGGACTCCCATCTTACACCATATAGAAAAATTAACTTAAAGCGGGTCAACAACCTACATATAAGAGCTAAAGCCATAAAACTCTTAGAAGAAAACATAGGAGTATATCTTCATAATTTTAGCTTTAGCAATAGAGTCTTAGATATGATACCAGAAGCATGAACAACAAAAGAAGAACTAGATAAATTAGACTTCATAAAAATAGTAAACTTTCGAACATCAAAGAAAATTACCAACAAAGTAAAATCATACATCTAATAAAGGTCTGGTATCCAAAGCATTTAAAGAACTCTTACAGCTCATCGGCAAAAACACACAACTCAATTTTAAAATGGGCAAAGACTTGAATAGACATTTCTCCAAAGAAAATATACAAATGCCAACAAGCACATGAAAAGACACTCAATATTTTTATTAATTAGGGAAATGCAAATCAAAATTGCAATGAGGTACCAATTCACACCCACTGTATATATATGTAATAGGTGGATGGATATATATAATATTTATATATAATTATTTATAATATGTATATATAATAATGTTATTATATGATAAATTATATAATACATATATAATTTATTGATTTGAGACAGGCTCTTGCCATGTTATCCAGGCTGGAGTGCAGTGACACCATCACAGCTCACAGTGGCCTGAACCTCCCAGGATCAAGTGATCCTCCACCTCAGCTTCCTGAGCAGCTAAGAGGTACTACAGGCAGGCATAACCATGCCCTACTAATTTCTTAATTTTTTTGTAGAGACAGGATCTCACTATGTTGCCCAGGCTGGTCTCAAATTCCTGGCCTCAAGCTATCCTCCCAAAGTGCTGGCATTAGAGGCATGAGCCACTGCACCTGACTTAGGATGGATATATTTTTTTCAATGGAAAATAACAAGGGCTAACAAGAATGTAGAAAAATTGGAACCCTCAGACATTGTTGGTGAGAATGTAAAATGGCACAACTGCTGAGAAAAGTTTGGTGATTTCTCAAAAACTTAAATATAGAATTATGGTATGATCAAGCAATTCCACTCCTAGGTATATACCCAGAAGAACTGACACTGACTACTCAAACAAGTACATGTATCTTTATAGCAGCACTATGAACAATAGCCAAAAGGTGGAAACAACCCAAATTTCCATAACAAATGAATGGATAAACAAATTGTGATATACAATGGAATAATAGCCATAAAAAGGAATGATGTACTGATACATGCTGGAACATGGATGAGCTACCAATTTACAGGAAACACAGAGGACAGGGGACATGTTGAATAGCACCATGAGAGTGCAGTCAGCAAAATCCAGACTATTGGAAACTCTACAGATCAAATGACCTGGGTCTTGGGAGGGGGTAGGAAAACCTGTGTATTAACCAACTTTTAAAAGATGTATTTTTATAAAATAAGTGAGATTTAATTATAGGGTGTAGGGATATACATGTGGGTAATAATTAGACTATGAAGCAAAGGAAAGGAGTGTCTACTGTAAGTCAAGGTAGTGGTGACTTTGGAGAAGAGAGTGAGGAGGTGCCTCTGGACAAAGTTCTGTTTCTTAGTCTAGGTGGTGGTTACAAAGCTTTACTCTTGTAAAAATCCATTAAGCCATGCATTTGTTTTATGTGGCTTCTTATAGCTTTGTTTATTTGCAAATAATAACCTGGTTCAGAGATTCTGATTCACAGGGTGTGGGGCAGAGTTCAGGAATGCTTTTAAATTTTCCCGTGTTGTGTGCGCACACACACACACGCATACATATATATCTGTCTTCCACACCAGGCTGGTGCCTGTTTGAGGAAGGTCTGTGGCTTGCCTCAATTTGGACTTCCCAACCTCCAGAACTATAAGAAATAAATTTCTGTTCTTTATGAATTACCCAGCCTCAGGTATTCTTTTATAGCAACACAAAACAAACCAAGACAGCTTCTATCTCTCTCCTACTGACCTATGAGCAGGGCATGCTTTGTTTCTGTCTTTGCATTCAGCACCTAGCACACAGTAAGTGCTCTGTAAATGCTGATGAGGCTGGGCTGATACACAGGTGGACTGACAGTGGGCATACCAGACAAGATCCAGTGGCCCCTGAAGCAGTCAACTCACCCACAGCAATGCTGGAGGGCTATGAACTTCCCAATCTCACTGAGGACCACAGGAGCATTCCACCTCTACTGGGCAGTAAAATCCAGAACGCCGGCTGCAGACATTCCACTTAGAGTCATGCCAACATCCTCTCTGGGCCCCACTAGCTTAAGACAGAGCCACAGACACAGGCGTCCAGAATTAAGAGTCCATCTCAGCCCTGAGGCTGATTTCTCACTACACACTGACCCTGAGAAAAACTTCAGGGACTGCAAAAGGCAGCCAGAAACACTGGGAGAAGGGAGGGAAGAAAGCGCCTCTGAAATAGACAGAAACACTAATGCACCACCAGTGCCTCTTTCAGACATAAGCCAGTCCAGCTCCCCATGGGCAGGCCCAGGATCACACAGGACACTACAAACCAGGTCTCTGCCCAAGAACCAGGCTGTAGGGGCCACCAGAGCCTCACTGGAACAGGTTAATGCAGAATACAGTCATGTACGTCCAAACGGAGCTACAGGCCTTCCCCGTTAAAGACAGTGCCCTCCCCGGGGTAGAAAGGAAAACAATACTCCTTATCAGCATGACCATTGTATGTTAAGTCTTGTGATGCATGTTTGCAAGTTACTCCAAGTAACTATGGATCTTGTCCCCAACTCAGGCCAGCCAGCTGACAGGCCCTGAAGTCAGCAGCTACAGTTGGCTGATTCTGAACCCAGTGATGCCTGCTGTTTGCAGGGAATGAGATACTTACTTAATTATCTCAAATTTAAACACTCTTATATGTTTCCTTAATTTAAAAACCATACACACACAGAAGTGAGGACATCTAAAAATGGGATCTGCGTTACTGATGTGTAAGCCAGAAAAAAAGAGGAGTTCTCAAATACACTCTGAGCTGGACTTCACAGCTACGCCAGTTCCTCAAGTGGTTCGTGGAGGTGAGCGGCAGATGCAGGCCAGTCTTAGAATGTGAAAAATCTGAGAGCTATAAGACAATTCAAAAACAGACAATAAGTCAAATCCCATTGAATTGTGTTATTTTAAATATAAAGAAAGAAATGTACAAACATTTAACAGAAAATTAGATTCCCCCTGTCCCCACAAATCAAATCCAAAATTACCCATGTGAAAACTTCACGGCATTATCCACTTTCCACCAAGGCCTCCACGTGCTCGTTCTCTGGCCAGGCCTTGGTAGTGTGGACTGGTCACCATGTAAGGACAGCCTTCTGTGAGCTGCAGACCAAGGGAGGTGGCCTGGCAGCCTGTTGGAGGCCAGGCAAGGATAAAATTTACTATCAATCCTTTTTTTTTTTTTTTTGAGATGGAGTCTTGCTCTGTTGCCCAGGCTGGAGTGCAGTGGTGTGATCTCGGCTCACTGCAACCTCTGCCTCCTGGGTCAAGCAATTCTCCTGCCTCAGCCTCCCAAGTAGCTGGGACTACAGGTGCATGCCACCACACCCAGCTAATTTTTGTGTATTTTTAGTAGAGACAGGGTTTCACCATGTTGGCCAGGATGGTCTCAATCTCTTGACCTCGTGATCTGCCCACCTTGGCCTCCCAAAGTGCTGGGATTACAGGCATGAGCCACCATGCCCAGCCATCAATCCCTTTTTATGTATAAGAAATAGGCTCAGAGAGGCCAGATGGCATGGCCCAGTTTGCACAGTAAGGTGATTGCCTGTCACGGCCAAATAGCCACCACGTCCGGATAATCCATGGCCACTGGTTTCTGTGAGGTGGTGGAGAGGCGGCCTCAGCCTGAGCCCTCTGGATCGTGGGCAACGGGTGGTGTGAGGAAACTGTCCAGCAGTGATCTACTGTCCCTGCACTCCCACACTGCAGGGCCAGGGGTGCATCTGCATCCCACGCGGGGAATGCCTGGGCATGAGGCTTCAAGAAGCACTTAGCAGGAATGCACCGGGTGCTCAGAGGAGCCGCTGTCCTGGCAGGCTTTGCTGTCCACATTTGCCCCTTTGCACGGAGCCTGCTGTCCCTGAAGTGCTCTGACCTGTCCACAGGAAACCAGGTCAGGCACAAAATAACCACCCTTGTCTCAAAGCAAGGGCCCTAATGCCTCCATTCCTTCAATGCCTTTTCCTTCAGCCAAGGTCCCCTGCAGTCTTGTCCTGGGCACTGAACTGGGTGCTGGGGATGGGCTGGATTATGAGGAAGGAAGGTCTCTGCTCTCAAGAAGAAGTGGGTCCCCCATCCTAGGGCAGAAGGCACTGCCATCCTGAGTCAGCTTATCGCAGCTCAGATTTCACTCCCTCTGTGCTGGGCCCTGGGAATGGGGAGATGACACTGCCATGGCCCTGCCCTCAGGGGCTCCCCATCACGTGGGGAAGCCAGACACAAAGGTAAATTTGGGAGGAAGCCCCCAATGCCTCATAAGCTATCAAAAACCAGAGTCCACAGCAATGGGAAAAACAAGGCAAGGAAGGTAACCTGCAAAGAAACGAGGGCTGGGGAGGCAACACGCAAACAGCCAGAGGAGACTGTGAGGAGGCCCCCCACAGACTCATCGCCTCAAAGCGGAGCCCCAGGAATGAACAGTCAGCTCTAGGACGTGCTAAATGCCCCAGGAGAGGCACGAACCAGGGGACCACTGACACCACTCGGCCTTCGGAGGTGAGAGGCGGCTTCCCAGAGGAGGGCATATTGGCTGAGCAGGATTTCCTCAGGTAGACACAGGGGGAAACCAAGCATCGCAACTGAAGGCCAGGTAACACAGATCTGCCGAAAGAGACATCATGATTTTCAAACAAGCAAACGAAAGGGATTCATTCTATTCTGCAACTGTCAGGCATACTCAGACCAAGAGTAATCTTTCAAATAAACCCCAGAAAATGAAATCACGTATGCCATGTTCTAGCCCCGCAGTGGAAAGTGGTTTAGCCTCTGGTCCCGGAGTCTTGCCTGTCTCTTCTCCCACCCACCTCCCCTGCCTCTCTCCCCTTCCCAGCTGCCCAGAAGGTGACTAACTGCATGTCCACTTTTTTTTCTGCTGATTCTTCCCATTTCTGATATTAAGTAGCACTTTCTCTGCAAGCAAAGCTACACTGATATAATACAGATGAAACTGGGAAAGTCCAGGCTAAATTTCAGGATACGTATACAGAAATGCGTTGAGATACAGCACCTCACTCAGCAACCATGCCTTATAGATAGTGCTAAGCTTCAGTCGCATCACAGAACTTTCTACCCTGCATGAGTTCTCTGACCTGGCTGTGAGCTTCTTGTGGGTGGGGTCTCAGTCATTCCCAAGCAGCCAGATGTGTCTCAGTGCCTGGCATACAGAAGGCATATGATAAATGTTTGCTGAATGAGTAATTCACAAGTAGGTCCATTGTTATAAATGAATGTTTTGGAAACACAAGCTGTCACTGAGTTCCACGTGTCGTGTTCTGCTTTCGAATGACCTGCCCTGAATATATCTCACATGCAGTCTTGCATATGCCTGATTCAGACTTTTGCTCACAGCTACGGGGAGGTGTTGAGCTCTGCATGGGCCAGCAGATCCAGGCAGAAAGACTTCCATGTCTGTACAGCAGCATTTGTTCATTGCTCCAATGGTTTATTTTCCCCTGGTTTTATTAAAATAGTGAAAAACACTAAAGTGGAAGGGCTTACACTCAAGAGCAACACAATTGGAATGACAGCATGGGTTTTCAGGGGTGCCCAAAGAAGTCCTTCCCCTCTGTTGTATGTCCCTAGGTCTTAAGCCACTACACTGAATTCATGTGTGAAGGAAAGGAACAAAATTCAAGGGTGTGTATGAAATGCTAGCAATATAGCCTTGAATGCTGTACCTGGATGTAGAGCAGGAAGCAAGGCTTGTACCGTCTCTTCCTTACCTCTCTGAGAAGGGACCCCACCCCAAATTGATCTGCTCTGGCTCCGACACACCCCCTACATACGACCCACTCTGTGGAGGCAATAGGGAAGTCCTGCTCTGTGTCTGAAAATGTCAAAGACAGCTTATTCCTGGGAAGCCATCAAATACGCCCTGCTCTGCTGTATATATTATTCAAGTACTCAGTAAACCCTTTGTTTCTGGAGAGCAAAGGCCACTGGCAGCCCAACCTCTGCCCAGACAAGGAGGGGACAGGCAGGGAGCTGGCAAGGGCACACAGGATCATGGCCAGAGGGTGAGCTCAGTGCCCAGAATCTGTCCCCATAGGAGCACAGGGTCCCCAGGCTTTCAATTCTCCAGACTTCGTTTCCCAGCCTATAAAATGCGTACAAAACTGACATCCTCTCGGGATGTTAAGATTCGATGATATTACAAATGTGAAAGCACTTTGGAACCCATAAAGTGCTGTATCAATACTGGTTGATCGTGCTCTTATTAAGATTATTCTATTAATAACCCATCTCAAATTACATATCTGTAGACAGTGCGTTTGTGCATCTATTGGGCCAGCTGCTCTCCAGGCCGGGAAGCCAGAAAGATCTCATGGAGGAGCTGGTCCTCCTACTTCCTTCCCTTGCTAAGGCCAAACCTGCCCGAATGAGCTTCATCTAGAGGGCACCTCTCAGGCTCAGCACCTGGAGCAGCCCTCCATGTGGACAGCCGGGCCTGTCCAGCCCAACCAGAGGGGGCCGTGGATTTTGTCCATGGCTGTTTCCCAGACTCCATGGCAGTGATTTAGATGCCCCTGCCCCCTGGCCGCACGCTGGAACATGTGCACCTGGTTTCTCCCGGCACTGACCTACTTATCCATCAGTTACTCAACTGTCTACTGACGTGTTTATTGAGCATGTCCCAAAGGCCAGGTACCAGACCACTTGCTGCATGTGACATGCAGACACATATGGAACCAGGCCAGCCCTTGAACAATCACGACAAGTGTCCCAAGTGCTACAAAAGAGAAGGAAGGGATGATGTTGCAGAAAGTGGGGAGGGAGGGGCAGTGCTAACCTGCTCTGGGGTCTCTCTCGAAATTTCCTTTTGTTTGTCCTGCTGACCTTTCTATGCATGCTTTTACTCTGAAGTCACACCTTTTCTTAACCTGTAGAAAATTCTCGGTCATGTCATTCTACCACTCCTTCTACTGTATCTTCTCTACCATTCTCTCCACATTTTCTCCTTCAGAACATTGGTTGTTAAAACTCAGCCATTTTTTAAGTTCTCTTCCATAGTTTCATCTCCTTCTATCTGTGAGCTGCTTTTAGTTTTCCATTCGCAAATTGTATCTTTGACTAGCTCATCTATTGATTTAATTATCATAGTTTTTATACCTAGATTTCTACTCAGTTTTTTTTCAGAGCCAATCTGTTCTTAATTTATACCTTCCTGGGTTTATTTTATAATTACTTTTTATGAATGCTATTTCTTCTTCTTTGTGGGTCTTAAGATGCTTAAGGCTTTTTGGTTTTGAGATTTTTCTCATATTTCCATTTATTTGGCAGTGAATTCATCTCCTATTATTAGTTTTGTAACCTTTCTTAGAATTAGTTTTTTCACATGCTTCAAAATGTTCGCTTGCAATAGGAAGTCTGTGTTTTGTTCTTCCCACTGCATTAACCTCCCAGACCCACCCGCACCCTCCCAGGATTTTGTCATTGCTCCCATCTGGCCTTCTAGAGTACCCAGTCCCAAATGAGGCTTGCTCTGACAGCTCCGAGGTTCTGAAATGCCAAAACGGAGGAGTTAGCCAGTCCAGTCATTGGCCGAGGGCCTGGCCCAGGAACTACCTTTGAGCCTCCCTTTGCCCCCTTTTGCCCTCTTAGGCATGCAGGTCTTGCTAGCCTTAGCCCTGGTAGTAGTTCCAGTATTTTGCAGCCACCTGTCACAGGTGGCTGGATCTGCCCTCGCTCCCAGTTCCCATAGCCCCTGACGCAAGTGAGATGCTTTGGGCTCTCAGGTCCTTTGCCCATGTCAGAGCCCAGAGGTGTGGTCTCACTATGCTGTGGAACCCCAGCTGACAGAACCACTCACTGCCCAGGGATCCTCAGGGAGGTTGAGAAGGGAAAGCAGATTGCTTTAAAGGCCGCCGTTATAAAGCCATAGCCAAAGCAGCTGTGGCCTGTGAAATGGACCTACGAGAAACACAGCAAGAGAGAAGGTGTGAAAACCAGGAGTGCCTCTCAGTCCCTGCATGAGGAAGCAATGTGACTGTTTGATGGCCCTGAGTTATGTGGGGATCATACAGGCCCCTTAGCTATATCATCATTCCAACAGCACAAAGACATGAAAAAACCTACAGTTTGCAAGCAGCTGCCCCAGAGACAGACTGGCAACACCATGAGGCCAAATCATACAATTGCACAGAGAAGGCAGCCCTTCTGTGTGCCTGTGCAGCCTTCCTCCCTCAACTGGCATTGCACCTAGGGCAGGCCCTGTGTCCAAAGTGAGCAGTGATATCAGGGTTACTTGCCCAGGTCACTGACCAGTAAACGACTTGTATGTGTCACCGGTCAGTTGCTATTGGTATAAACACTTCTTCTGTAATATATATGGCCTAGTATCCACTTGGGATGGTTCCAAACCATAAGTTGGGGTTCTCCAGGTTTGGAATGGTGCATTTCAGAAGGTAAAAACACCAGAAATTAGAGTACAAGAAAATGATGGGTTAGAGAGGAGTGTGGGGTAAGGAGACTAACAGCAGAGAGGCAGGCAAGATTCAACATTTTGAGATTTATTTTGTGTTATTGGCAAGCCTTCATAGGCTTTTTAGCAGGGTACTAACAAGGAAATATTTAGGAAGAAAACTGGTAGCCACATGGATGAGCTGTTGGAGAGAAAGAGACTAGAGACAGTGTCTGGAGTCAGGCCAGCCCCAGGTTCCAGTTTTATACTCCTCTGTAGGTGCTTTTGTTCCAACCTTGGTCCAGGTTCACTCCTAAATTCATCAGGGTTTCCACTCCTTGAAGTCAAAGAGGTCTAATGAACACAGCACTTTATGCATATTACCTTTCTCAGCCATCAAATCATTACAAATTAGAACTTGGAACTGGAGAGAGCAAGTTACTTGCCTAAGGACACAGCTATTAGACAGGTGTATGGGCTTCCCAAGTGATGCACCAATCCTCCCTCTCCCCAAGCAGGATGCAGAGGGCAGCAAGGGAGGGGTTCCAAATGGGTGATGTGGTGCTCTCGCAGCAACCCAAGGCTCAGGTTCAGCTCTAGCCCTCAGTACTGAGCTAAAACTGGCCAGGTGCAGTGGCTCATGCTTGTAATCCCGTCACTTTGGGAGGCCGAGTTGGGCAGATCACTTAAAGGTCAGGAATTTGAGACCAGCCTGGCCAACATGGTAAAACCCCATCTCTACTAAAAATACAAAAAAAAAATTAGCCAGGTGTGGTGGTGTGCACCCATAGTCCCAGCTACTCAGGAGGCTGAGGTGGGAGAATTGCTTGAACCTGGGAGGCGGAGGTTGCAGTGAGCCAAGATCACACCACTGCACTCCAGCCTAGGCAACAAAGTGAGACCTTGTCTCAAAAAAAAAAAAAAAAAAAAAAAGAAAAGAAAATAAAAAGAAAAAAGACAGTACTGAGCTAAAACTGAAGACAGTTAGGGAGGCCCTGGTCATCCTCTCACCCCTTCTCCCTTCATGTCCATTCACCCCCAGCCCCAAGCCCAGCCAGTGGTCACTGGGGCCACACGTCCCCATCTTTGTGCTTTGCACATGGGTCCTCTGACCCAGCTGCCTCCCACCTGGATCTGCCTGAAGAACTCTTCAATATACAGCTTCTGTTATCAGACGCTCATTTCGGGGGGACAGCTGCCACAAGTGTGGCCTCTGCAGCCAGAGATCCAAGTTCAAATCCTGATTCTGCCTCTAGTGAGCTGTGTGATCACAGTCAAGTTATTTCACTTCTCTGAATCTCAGCTTTTCATCTGCAAAAGCTGTCCCAAGGTCATTTTAATAAATGCATACAATAGCTGCTGCGAAGCGCTCAGTATTGCTGAGAACTACTGGCGTCTATAAAGTTCTGAGTCAGGGTTAACAGCTGTGGCATGTATGGTAATTGTTTGCTTGCGAATCATCCTTCCCCTCAGCTGCCTGTGAGTTCCTCAGGGAGAGGAGCCATCTTTGATTCAGGGCTATGTTCCAGTGCCTGAAATAAGGCATACCTCGGAAATGCTTGTTAAACAAAGGAAGGAACGTGAGAGTGAATGATGACAACTCTCTTTGCCAAACATTCTACCAGTGACTCCTTTGCGAAAACTGGCTGCAGGATGGTGATTTTGATTTGCTGTAAACCTAGTGCCAATTGCTTCCATCTGAGCTTTAGATAGGTGAAGAGCCTCCCTTCGCCCCAGGAGTGTCACATCTATAGCCAGGGCACCGTGGATAATCCATTAACACGGATTCCCTCTCTGCAGCCTCAATGACCCTGTCAGTTCCCAGCTGCTAAGAGGTTGCTTCAGCCATGACCTGGGACCATGACCATCATACCTGATTCACCTGGACCTCCCACTTGGACACCCTACCTGGACACCCCACCTGGGAATCCTACCTGGACATCCCACCTGGACATTCCACCTGGACATCCCACCTGAACATCACAGCTTTTGCCTTCCTGGCTTCAGAAAACATAAAGCCAAGCCTGGCCACACCCTGGGAGTAGCAGAGCTTTGGCCTCACAGAAGCAGCAGATGTGGAGCCAAACTTTACTGTGGCCTGAGGACCTGGCTTTGAACCTAGCTCTGCTAACTGACTTTATCACCTTGGGCAACTTACTTAGCCTTTGGGGACTTGATGTCCATTTATCTAAAATGGAAATAGTGCTAGCTATCGCTTCTTGAGCACTCATCAAATTGACAGGGAAAGGCCTCATTGTTATTTCTATTCAGCATCGCCTTCTCAGGAGCATGGGTCCAGGTTTCTGGAGGATACCTGAGGACCAGGAGCCCTGATGTGTGGGCCGCACGCCCACGTCCCTGCCCAGACAGGCCTCCCCTCACATTGCAATTTCAGTCCTTGGCTGAAATTCAGTCCCTTGGCTATTATACTGCTCCCAGGTGGGGAGGAGTTGAGAGTTAGAGACAGGAAAGACCAAGAAGAGGAAGGTGGGAGAAGACTCCTCTCTGTGTTTATAAAAATGCTTTTGGATGCTTGCTAGCATCAGAAAGATTTTAGCTGCCAATTAACAAACAGTGGCCACAGCTGAAGGTGACAAGATGTTCCTTGCATCTTAAGCTGATGCCACTGTTTGCAAGACATGAGCCTTACATTATGTCAAAAGGTGTTTACTGAATGAATGGATGAATGGATCCATCAGCTCACAGGATTAATTAAGATTTTCATCATCTGAATGTGAAATTATGTCCATGTGCAGAGCCTCCATTCCTGCCCAGCGGCTTCATCACAGCCAGGTCCCTGTCTCTCCTGGGTCCCCTCAATGGCTCTCCTTCCTCCCAGGTGTCTGGGGAAGGACAGCAGCAGTAATCCAGGGACAGCCTTTATAGCGGATGAAGCACTCTGCCAGACACCGCTGCCCTATCTCTATAGGATTCTCATCTCCACTGGGAGAAAAATACTTACTATTATAAGCTGCCTCAAATTATTTCCAACACCACTAAGGAACTCATGGTAAAATATAAACTCAATAAAGAGCTGGGTATGGCTCTTACCCTGAGGATAGGGTGCAGCTGCGAGCTGACTGTTCTGAGCTCTGCCTTAGAACAGAGTGGCAGTGTTTCCTAGTGCCCAGGTGACTCTCTCTGGTGGGCCTGCTGTGGCTCAGCCCTAGATCCAACAAAGAGAGGGCAGGAGCACAGCCTAGGCCTTCTTCTGGCATCCCAGCTCACTGTGGGTTGCAACTCACCAGTGGGTGTGAAATCCGTCACGACTGAGACCAGTAAGTTTTTAATGAAATGAAATACAAAAAAAAAAAAAGTTAGAGTTTGTATATGCGTGCATACTGTGTCACACCGTAATTTGTTTTTTTGTTGTTGTTGTTTTTTAATTTTATTATTATTATACTTTAAGTTTTAGGATACATGTGCACAACGTGCAGGTTTGTTACATATGTATACATGTGCCATGTTGGTGTGCTGCACCCATTAACTCGTCATTTAGCATTAGGTATATCGCCTAATGCTATCCCTCCCCCCACCCCACAGCAGTCCCCAGTGTGTGATGTTCCCCTTCCTGTGTCCAACTGTTCGCACTGTTCAATTCCCACCTATGAGTGAGAACATGCGGTGTTTGGTTTTTTGTCCTTGCAATAGTTTGCTGAGAATGATGGTTTCCAGCTTCATCCATGTCCCTACAAAGGACATGAACTCATCATTTTTTATGGCTGCATAGTATCCCATGGTGTATATGTGCCACATTTTCTTAATCCAGTCTATCATTGTTGTACATTTGGGTTGGTTCCAAGTCTTTGCTATTGTGAATAGTGCCGCAATAAGCATACATGTGCATGTGTCTTTATAGCAGCATGATTTATAATCCTTTGGGTATATAGCCAGTAATGGGATGGCTGGGTCAAATGGTATTTCCAGTTCTAGATTCCTGAGGAATCGCCACACTGACTTCCACAAGGGTTGAACTAGTTTACAGTCCCAACAGTGTAAAAGTGTTCCTATTTCTCCACAACCTCTCCAGCACCTGTTGTCTCCTGACTTTTTAATGATCGCCATTCTAACTGGTGTGAGATGGTATCTCATTGTGGTTTTGATTTGCATTTCTCTGATGGCCAGTGATGATGAGCATTTTTTCATGTGTTTTTTGGCTGCATAAATGTCTTCTTTTGAGAAGTGTCTGTTCATATCCTTCGCCCACTTTTTGATGGGGTTGTTTGTTTTTTCTTGTAAATTTGTTTGAGTCATAATTTGTTTTTTGTTGTTGTTTTGCTATTTTTTGAGACAGAGTCTCTGTTGCCCAGGCTGGAGTGCAATGGCACGATCTCAGCTCACTGCAACTTCTGCCTCCCAGGTTCAAGTGATTGTCCTGCCTCAGTCACCCGAGTAGCTGGGATTAGAGGCACCCACCACCACACCCAGCTAATTTTTGTATTTTTAGTAGAGATGGGGTTTCACCATGTTGGTGAGACGAGTCTCAAACTCCTGACCTCAGGTGATCCACCCGCCTCAGCCTCCCAAAGTGCTGGGATTACAGGCGTGAGCCGCCATGCCTGACAGGTAATTTGTATTTCTAACTGTAGATTGTAGTCAAAGTTTGAACGGGTCAGCCATGCGCACAATGCCAGCCTGCCTACAAATGTAGACTGGGGCCTTTGACTCATGCCTGTAATCACAATATTTTGGGATGTCGAGGCAGGCAGATCACCTGAGGTCAGGAGTTCAAGACCAGTCTGGCCAACATGGTGAAACCCCATCTCTACTAAAAGTACACAAATTAGCTGGATGTGTTGGTCCACACCAGTAATCCCAGCTACTCAAAGGCTGAGGCACAAGAATCACTTGAACCCGGGAGGTGGAGGTTGCAGTGAATCAAGATCATGCCATTGCACTGCAGCCTGGGCGACAGTGTGAGACTCTGTCCCAAAAAAAAGAAAAAAAAAGAGTAGGTTGGGAAGCCAGTAACTAGGAACAGGCTCCATTTAATCCATCACAAAAAGAGGATTTGAGCAGAGAAGACAAAGACAAACCCTTGGGCAGGCAGCATCTGCTCTGCTGGACAAGCTGTTTTCAACCATACCTAATGATGGAAGCAGGGACTACATTGTCCAAAGTAAGGATCTTGGGACCCAGTGGGGGCTCAACGCAGCAAAGGGCTGCTGATATGCTCATCTAAGATCCTGATGGGTGCCCGTTTCTTACAGAACTGTGTGCTCACAGCTGTGCTCAGTGGGCCACATGGTCCTGCCCATCTGGCCAGCCCATCTTGGTTCCACTGTGTTCCTGGAGTCCTTACTGCTAGGCTCTGGCTGATGCTAGCCCCTGTGATGGGCTGCCCGCCCCACATTTCCCCTGGCTGGTCTCCACTCTCTCTCTCGGCTACTCCCTGCTCTGTCCCATAAAAGCACTCAAGGCAGCCTTCTCATCTAGATCATTCTTTAGGCCTGGAGTTCTTTAATCTGAGGGCTTTTGCACACCCTGAATTGGATGCAAAAGGGGGTATTTGTCCCATGTGTGTTTTTCTGGGAAAAGGACTCACAATTTTACCAGACTCTCAAAAGCATCTGTGCCCTCAGCAAAAGCCCCAAGCCCTGCCTCAGGAAGCCTGATCTGCTCAGGCTGGGTGACTATCTGTCCGTGTCTGTCCCCCACAAAGTGGCGTTCAGCAACTGATGCTGGGGCAAACTGCCCTGCCATCTGCCAGAATGTAAAGCATCAGCTGTGTGGAGGATGGGCGGGGGGCTAGACCCCAGCCAGGCCCTTTCAAAGGCACTAGGGGTTTGGCTCTAGCATGCATCCCTGTTGTGGGTGGCAAAAACCACTACCGGGAGTCAGGCTGAGCTGGCTTAAATCCCAGTTCTGTCTCTGGCTCATTCTGCCTCCATAGGCACCTGTTTAACCTCTGTGAGGCTCTGATTTCTCATCTAGAAAATGCCGATAAGAAGATGTACCTTCCAGGATTATTGTGGCAATTAAATGAGATACTGTAAGAACAGCCACTTTACCGCCTATAAATGCTAATTTTTTTAATTGACTCAGTGAAAAACATTTTACCATTTTAAATACCCTCAACCCCTGAAGCACTGCAGCTCTTAGCTCTATGACCTCAGGAAAATTACTTATTTCTGTCAACTGTCCTACTTCTGACAAATGGGGATGGCTTCATGTTGGTGTTCGCAAGATGACAAGTCAACACGTAGGAAGCACTTGAAGCAGGGCCTGGGTCCTTGTACAGTCTTGCACTGTTATTTCTGCAAGAAAGGAGTGGCAGGTGAAGAGTCCCTCCCTTAGACTGTGCCTAGGAGCAAAATTGCCATTTCTGTCTGTCTTAGTCCATTTTTTGTTGCTATAAAGGAACACCTGAGGCTGAATACTTTATAAACGAAGGAGGTTTCTTTGGCTCACAGTTCTGCTGGGTGGAAGGTTCAAGATTGGGCCTCTGGTGAGGGCCTCAGGCTGCTTCCACTCATGGCAGAAGGTGAGGGGGAGCCGGTGTGTGTAGAGATTGCATGGTGAGAGAGGAAACAAGAGGGAAAGAGAGTGGTGCCTAGCTCCTTAACACCAGCTCTCACAGGAGCTAATAGAGGGAGAACTCACTCACTACCTCTAGGACAGCACCAAGCCATTCATGAGGAACTTGGCCCCATGACCCAAGCACCTCTCAATTAGGCCCCACCTCCAACAGTAGGGTTCAGTTGTTCTTCCTGCCTCCTGAGATGGAGTCTTGCTCTGTCGCCAGGCTGGAGTGCAGTGGCGTGATCTTGGCTCACTGTAACCTCCGCCTCCCGGGTTCAAGCGATTCTTCTGCCTCAGCCTCCCGAGTAGCTGGGACTACAGGCATGTGCTACCACGCCTGGCTAATTTTTGTATTTTCAGTAGAGACGGGGTTTCACCATGTTGGCCAGGATGGCCTCGATCTTCTGACCTCGTGATCAGCCCACCTCAGCCTCCCAAAGTCCTGGGATTACAGACATAAGCTATTGCGCCTGGCCTAGGGGTTCACATTTCAACATGAGGTTTGAGGGGACAGACATTCAAACTATAGCACTCTCTCTCCTTGCCTCTCCTTGCCGATGGGCCACCAGAAATCTCTCTTCCCTTCTTCACCAAACACTGCTCCACCTAGACAGTGGTGCAGATGCCAGAAGGCACATGTTGCCTAGCACAGAACCTCCCATTCTGTCCGTTTTATTGGCACTGTGGGCTCAAATGCTAATGAAACACATGGCAAGACCTCGAATTCAGTCCCCATTTGGTTGGTGAGGAAGAGGCCCTACTCACTGACTTTGCATTCATCACCTCTGACCCCATCACGACCTCTGAGACAGAGCCAAGAAGCCCATTTTATAGATGAAGAAACCAAGCCTGAGTGGGGTAAGCACTTGCCCAAGGTTACACAGCTGGCAAAGGGCAGTGAGGTCTGCCTAGACCTCACTTGCTCCTCCATGCCATGAAGCTCTCTTATTCACCTCTTTGTTAGCAAATGCCTTAAAAGCATTTGAAGTGCCTGAAATGTCAAAATCCAGCTGGCATCCCCATTAGGGAGGGCTCATCCACTGAGTGGACAGATTATGGTGACAGGTACCTGCCCCGGTCTTCCCACACACCCCAGCAAGGGGTCATATGTACTCTCTTCCACAGACTGCACCTCCCGAGTTTTCTCTCTCTCACACCTCCCTTCTCACCACCATACCCTTGACCCAGTAATTTCTCAGACCCTACATGTCTCCACCAGCCCACGTGCCCATTAGACTCAAGGAGAGGAAACGGCAGAGGTTCAACCTAGCAAGCCCAAGCTCTGGGTTTTCTGGCTTTCCCTGAGTGATTGTGGCAGGGGGTGGGTCACTGAAGGTTATCAGCATATCACTGGCTTGACCCTGGGTGGGAGGCAGGGAGGGCTTCCCACTTTAAGGCGCCCCACCCCCACCCCTGTGGACAGGGTAATTATGGATAGACTGGGCTGAGTGATGGCCTGGGGTCTCGGGCATCTGCAGGCTGCCCCCAGGCTGAAGCATGCCTGCCAGTGGCTTTTAGGCCCATATGAGCTGGAGGGTCCTTCCTTCCTTCCCAGGCTCACAGAACCCCTGTGGGGCTGCTGTGAGTCCTGTGAGGCCACCCACTAAGCTGCCACCCCAGCCAGGCAGCCTTGGTAGGAACAGCCCAGACCAAAGGGAGATTGGAGCCAGGAAATTCCACGGTGGTGGGACTGGCCTGCTGTATGCACAGATTCAGGCTCTAGGAGGCCCTGGGAAGGGAAGGGCCCTGCCCACACCCACAGTCCCTCAGGGAACCCCCTGGCTAGGCTTGTGTTTCCCCTCTTAGAAGACCTTTACAGAGCCCAGGCTGGAGTCCTGGACGTGGGTGCAGGAAGGGAACTCAGAGCTTCCAGGCGGGGCTGGCAGCCACACCTCTGCTGCTCCTCTGCCAGGCCCTGGCATGGCAGAGCCAGCCTGGGCGGGGAACGGCAAGAGGAGCAGGAAGCAGAGAGAGGGTTTCTGTGGGGGTGTAACCGCCCAAGGGGTTCTCCTCACCTGCTGCCCAGATAGCCGATTTATCATGACAGGAGAATTGTAATAGAGAAAGACTAATTCATGCAGAGCCAGCTGTATGAGAGACCAGAGTTTTATGATTACTCAAATTTTTAAGTCTCCCTGAAAATTCTGAGACTCAGGTTTTTAAGGATAATTTGGTGGGTAGGGAGTCGGAAAGTGGGGAGTGCTGATTGGTGGAGTCAGAAATAAAATCATAGAGTGTCAAAGTGGGATTATTTTGTTGTCTTCATTCGGTTCCTGGGTGGCATCGCAGAACTGGTTGAGCCAGAGTACCGGTCTGGGTGCCTGCTGGTGCATTGGAACACAGGGTCTGCAAAGTAGCTCTAGCATTAATCTGAGTTTTTACAACAGTGACGTTAGCCCCAGGAGCAGTTTGGGGAGGTTCCAAATCTTGCAGCCCCTGGCTGCGTGACTCCTAAACCGTAATTTCTAATATTGTGACTAATTTGTTAGTCCTTCAAAGGCGGACTGGTCCCCAGGCAAGAAGCGGGGTTGTTTCAGGAAAGGGCTCTTATCATTTTTGTTGCAAAGTAAAACTATAAACTAAATTTCTCCCAAAATTAGTTCTACCTACCCCCAGGAATGAACAAGGATCGCTTGGAGGTTAGAAGCAAGATGGAGTCCGTTAGGTCGGATCTCTTTCACTGCCATCATTTTCTTACTGTTATAATTTTTGCAAAGTCATTTTCAGGGGGAGGAGGAGTTTCAGTGCTGGGGCTTGGAATGGCCTGGCATCCTGCCCCAAGGAGCCCAGGAACCCACCTCGGGCTGCAATGGGATCAGAGCTGGTTCAGGGGTAAGGGTCATGTCCAGAACACCCTGGGACTGGCATGGAAAGCCCTGGAGGAATGGCAGCAAGGGCCATGCGTCAGAGGCCCATATCTGGCCACCCATTTTACTCAACATGGGGCCAGAGTCCTGAGGGCAGTGACTTGCCTAAGACCACACAGAAAGTATGGGGGTGAGTGGGAGGAGTAGTGTCTTCCAGATTGAGCCTGAGGACCAGAGGCAGCCTGAGGGTGTGAAAGGGCCCTGGCCAAAGAGCACTAACCCTGCTCAAAGGTGGCCCTCTCTGGGCCGGGTCTCACCAGCAGCCAGTGAGCGCTGTGGTTTCCAAGCAAGCTATTCGGAGTGCAAGCCGTCTGAGGAGGCCCCACATCCAAACACAGACACAGGCATGAGCGCGTGTGTGCATTCACACACACACACACACGAGCACGCCCATGCACACCCCGCACCATGCACACACACATACACACATTTCAACCAGAAGAATTTCTCTTTTCTCTCTTCTGTATCAGATTTTGATGACTGAAGCCAATAAAATTGCTTTTTTAAAAAGGCAGTGGCCACAGAAGAATGGGCACCTTTGGGAGTCAGAAGCCACTGCAACTCCATGTCAGGGCACTTACAGCTCTAAGATTGCTGAGGTCAGGAAGTGGCGAGCCGGGTTCACATACCACACACATAACTCACACCCTCTATACTACACATACCCCACACACAAACACACATCACACACACAACCACACACAATACATACACCCCCCACACACACATCACACACAGCCACACATATCACACACAACCACACACATCACATACACATAATTGCACATGATACACACACCCCACACACAAACACACACATCGCACACACAACCACACATGCCACAGACACAACCACACACATCGCATACACACAATCACACACAATACACATACCCCACATACAAACACACATATCACACAACCACACACCTCACACCACATACACACCACATACATCACATACCACACACACCACATATAACCACACACATCACATACATCACACAACTGCATACAACCACACACAATACACACAACCACACATATCACATACATCACACAGTCACATACACACAACCACACAAAATACACACACCCCCACACAAACACACAACCACACATATCACACAACCACACACACTACACACCACCCATACAACCACACACATCGCATACACACAACCACACAGACCACACTCAACCACACACATCATACAACCACACACACAACCACGCAACCACACACGACATGCACACCACACATATACCACACAAACCACACAGAACCATACACATCTTATTCATCACACTTCAATCACACACTACACACAACCACACACACTACACACACCCTACACACAAATACAGAACCACACACGTCATAAAACCACACATACCACACACCACACAACCACACACATCACATACATACAACACACATATACCACACACACCACATACAACCACACACATCACATAATCGCATACAATAACACACTGCACACAACCATACACAATACACACACTCCACATACCTCACACACAAATTCACAACCACATACATCACACACACAACCACACACACCACAACCACACACATCACATTCATCATACATCACACAATCACACACAACCACACACCACACACAGTGCACACACCCCACACACAGATACACAACCATGTGCATCACACAACCACACACACCACACACAACCACACACGAAACACATCATATACATCACACATCACACACATCACACAATTGCATACACACCACACACCATACACAACACACACATCACATAATCACACACAGTCACACATATACACATCATACAAACAACATGCACACAATCACACACACCATACCTACCATATACACCACACATGCATAATCATACACTCCACACATACATGCACACACATACATTGCATACACACATCACACAACCACACACCACCACACACATCACACATCACATACACACAACCACACATGCCATACACATCACACAAACCACACACAACACCACACCCCACACACACCACACACACACACACACACACCACACGAACACACAGCATCACAACTGCACACATCACACATACCAAACACATCCACACCACACACATACAACCATATACACCACACACATAATACATACCACATACAACACACACATGTGCACACACATCACAATCACACACACAACTGCACACACACACCACCACTCACAGTTCCCCCTAAACATTGCTCTTCCCCACTCCCCTGCCTTTGCACACGCTGTTCCCTCTGATGGGAAGCCCTTCCGTGGGGCTGTGACACCTCCCACCCCAGGATCAGTGACCCCTGTCTGCCCCACCCCTCCCTGAGATTCCCATGTAACTATGAGGGGGTTCCCAGGCAGCCCGGAAACTGGCACTTTTTCAAAGCTCTCAGGTGATTGTAATGCACAGCAGAGTTGAGAGCAACTGCACTAGACCTGTGCTGTCTCCAGTGGCTGCTGAGCCTTGGAAGCCGGGCTGGTCCCACTGAGACGTGCTGTGAGTGCCGGGTGCATGCCAGACCTCGAAGACGGAGCATGAAGAGAAATGCAAAATATCTCAGTCATATACAAATTAAATTTTGAAATGGTAACATTTTAGATATATTGGGTTAAGTAAAATATATTATGAAAATTAATTTCACCTGTTTCCTTTTGCTTTTTAATGAGGCTATTAGCAAATTTAGAATTGCTGTGTATACCTGGTCCGGGGGCTTGGCGGTGACAAGGTCTCAGGGTGTTCAGGGCTCCAAGGCCATTTGCCAAAATGCTTTGCCTCAGTCTGTCCTGAAAACACAGTGCCTCTGACTGCAGCGTCTCCTTGTCCATCAGAGGATCCCTGCGCTGGGAGGATCCGAAAGGACTGCTCCTTTGTCCCTGGGGTCACTGGGCAGGTCTAGGCCTACCCAGCTGACTGCCAACCACACACATCACACATACCACACACACACAACCACATACATCATACACATGCACACACACGTCACACAGCCCTCGATGGGGGGAGAAGGCAGGTCGCTGGAGCTGATGCCCTGCAAGCCCAAGCCTTGGGACTGGAGCTGAGCCCAGGCTCAGGGCTATGTCCAGATGGTGAAGGAACCTCGGTGGGCAGCAGGGAGGAGGAGGATGGAGTGGGGCCTGACTATCGCCTCTCTATAGTGCCTACAGAGGACCTGAGGCTTGTGAGAGGCAAAGCTGAGAGCAAGGGGCTGCGGCACACAGCAAGGATGGGCTAAGCCCTGGACTGGCTGTGGCCGGAGACAGGTCCAACCTGAATTCCTCACCCTCAGTGTGTCTGCCTCTCCAGGGAGCCCCTCGCAAAGGTTCCTTCATTAGATCTTCGCAGCCCCCTCTGAGTTTGGGATTCCTGTCTCCGCATCATAGATGGACCCACTAGGGCCAAGGGTTGGAAAGTGCTCTGTCTGAGAGAAGCGGAAGTTTTCAAACCCAGTCTGGCATATCTTCAAAAGCTGGGGACTTGATCCCCCTTCTTGGCAAAACAGAGTCAAGAACTGGGCCCACTGGGTGATGGGCGATAGGGTCATGGATCCACCCTCTCTAGTTTTCTGTCCATTTGGATGTTTTCACCACAAAAAGGTTTGCAATGCTTTCTCTGGTGGGAAGAAGCTCCCATCCCCAACTCAGAACGTTCTGGACCGGGCTGGATTGAGGGGAGTCGCACTAACCTCAGCCACCAGGGCAGGAACCACAGGGAAGCTAGTGGTTCAGAGACCACCAGCCCCTTCCTCCAGCTCCCGGTCCTCAGCCTGGAGTTGGCCTGAGAGTGGCCCAGGAGCAGGCCCCCTGGCAGCCCAAGTGTCCTGACCAGGCCTGGGACACAAAACTCCAGGAGCTGGTACCTTCTCATGTCCTGGTGGGGGGCGGCCATGGCTTCATGGGAGTCCTGACCTCTCACACTAATCCGCAGAGGCAAAGCTGTCCCCAGGCCAGCCAGCACATGGGAGAGACTGTCCCCACGCTGAGCCCCTTCCACCTGGCTGCATCGGGGCCCTTGCAGGCATTGATCTCCCAAAGGCAACGAAAGGGGCCTAATTCTGGCACCCTCTGTACCCTCAGGCTGCCCAGGCTCAGAGTCTGTGCCCGCCCAAGCTCAGAGCCTGCCCTGCAGCTGCAGGGTGACCCTGCTGGGTTGTCCAGGGCGAGGTGCACAGCACTTGTCTGAGGCCTTCTGGGTTCCGAATGAATACCTATGACCCTTTCTTCCTCTCATCTAGATTGAGTCATTTAGTACTCACCTGGTCTACTCGTCTCCATCAGAAGCCCCCCACAAACCCCCTCCCCACCTTTATGTGCTGTCCGGCCTCCAGTGGGTACCTGACCAACATCTAATTAGATGACTGAGTGGAGATGACATGGTATCAGAGTTCCCTCCGTGGGGCCTGCCATGGGTGTTTGGCCCACAGTGCAGTCTCAGACAACAGGGGACAGTGCAATGGGACAATTCAATGCCACCTCTGAGGACATGCTTGGGTGGGCTGTGGCAGAATCAGGGACTTTGTTTTCTTTCAACCCAAAATCCTGTGAGGATGCAATCAAGAAATGGTCACACCTGGGCATGAGGTTTCATTTTTTTTTTTTCCTAATTTTTAGATTTAGAAATCTATGCATTTAAAGAGCAAACTGTCTAACAAGTTGTTGATGATTGCCACCTGTGACTTTAACAAGCACAGTCCATTCTGTTAATACTTGTTTTGAAAACAGAAATTTGTTCCCATGAGATTGAGTTACAGTATTAGGGAACAATTTGAGCATGACGTGAATTTCACACTTGCTTATGTGCAATGTGGTCTACAAGAAACTCTAGGTGAGCACAGAAAGTTGTACCCAACTGAACCGAGCCAAAATACACCCAGATGGATGCCTCAAATACCCACAGCTCCGCATCCACCTCGTGTGTTATGAGCTGCATCCATCCACATCTGGTGTTACAGCTCCATGTCTGGTAACACACACGTCCACACACAAACTCCAGGGCTTTTTCAAGATCAAGTGTCATATTTATTGCAATATACATGCTTTTCTTAACCATCAAACGTGCAAAACTCAATGACTATTTTTATTAAGTTCCTATCTTTTTGTTTCTTATGGGCTACTGACAAAATTTTGGAGTGTTGTGCGGTTAACCCCACTTTTCCCATAAGCCCAGTGGTTTTTATTATGTGATTTTTGCATAGAGCACTGGTTTTTTAGGAACACATATATTGTGTTATAGCAGAACTAACTATGCATTCCTAAAATCTTCTTCCTATGCTTTTTTTGTTTTTTCCCTCTTACCAGCATTTTATTTTGAAAAATTTCAGGCTGGACATGGTGGCTCATGCCTATAATCCCAGCACTTTGGGAGACCGAGGTGGGCGAATCATTTGAAGTCAGGAGCTCCAGACCAGCCTGGCCAACATGGTGAAACTCCCGTCTCTACTAAAAATACAAAAATTATCTGGGCGTGGTGGTGGGCGCCTGTAATCCCAGCTACTCAGGAGGCTGAGGCAGGAAAATTTGTTGAACCCGGGGAGCAGAGGTTGCAGTGAGCTGTGATCACACCATTGCACTACACACTGGGTGACAGAACAAGACTGTCTCAAAAAAAGGAAAAAGAAAAATTTCAGGTCTGTGATCAACACTATTTCCCTTCACTTACATTCATCAGATCCATCTATTGTTAGCGTACTGTGATTTAAGCCTTTCATTCTCACCAATGTTTTGTAGTTTTCAGTCTACAAGTCCTACACATATTTGTCAGATTTATCTCCAAGTATTTCACATTTTTTGATGCGATTGTAAATGAGGGTTTTTTTTTTCACCGAGCTTTTTAACTGTAGAGTCATGATTCACAAGCAGTTGTAAGCAATGATACAGAGAGGCCCACTGTACCCTGTACCCAGTTTTCCCCAGTGTAACATCTTGCAACACTGTATGACCACATCACAACCAGGGTGTTGACATGGATACAGTCAGGATACAGAGTGCTCCGTCACCGCGGGATCCCTCCCGCAGCGCTTTTACAGCCACATCTGCTTAACCCCTGGCAACCACTAATGTGCTCTCCGTTTCTAAAATTTTGTTTCAAGAGTGTTACATCAATGGAATCACACAAAGATAGCTTTCTGAGATTGTCTGTTTTCACTCAGCAGAATGACCTGGAGATCCATCCGCATTCTGAGACAACAGTTCCTTCCTTTTGACTACTGAGCAGCATTTTGGGGCATGGATGTACCATGCTGGTCTAACCTTTAACTATCCAGCTATTGAAGGACAACTAGGCTGTTTCCAGTCTTTCTGGGGATGGTTTTAGCTCAGTCTTGAGCACTCTATTCCCCTGTTCTCTCTCCTATGCAGTTTTTCTCTTTGTTGTTGTTTTTTGTTTTGTTTTGTTTTTTGAAACAGAGTCTCGCTCTGTCGCCCAGACTGGAGTGCAGTGACGCCATCTCAGCTCACTGAAACCTCAGCCCCTGGGGTTCAAGCAATCCTCCTGCCTCAGCCACCCTAGTAGCTGGGATTATAGGCGGGCGCTACGACGCCTGACTATTTTTTGTATTTTTAGCAGAGACGGGGTTTCTCCATGTTGTCGAGGCTAGTCTCCAACTCCTGACCTCAGGTGATCCATGCACCTCCCATGCAGTTTTATCCAGGCTCTGCCTTACTCGGTGACAAGGTTTGGGGCAGAAACTTCAGAAAGAGCTCCACTGGTAATGGTTGCTTATTTTTATTCTCTTGGTAATTGGAAGATTATAGTGTTCTGTGTCTTCTAGTTATGTTGCAGGTGTGAGTATTGTATGGTTTTATTTGTTCTTCCTGTTGATCTGTATAATTACATACTTTGCTTTCTGAAAAGTATATTAAGATATAAGTGTATGATAAAATTTACTCTTTTTAGTGTACAATTCTATGAGTTTTGACAAACGCAACCATGTTACCATCACAGTAAAAATATGGACACTTTCACTCCCCAAATCCATCTGAGCCTCTTTGTAGTCAGCCTTTCCCTTACTCTCCAGCCCTTGGCAAGCTCTCCTTTATTTCCTATCCCAATAGTTTTCCCTTTTCCAGAATTCACACAGATGGAATAATTCAGGTACGCAGCTGTTGAGTCTGGCTTCTTTCACGTAGCAGAATGCATTTGAGATTTATCCATCATATATACATATATATATATATATATATATATATATATATATAATTAGTTCATTGTTTTTTATTGATAAGCATTCTATTACATAAATATACCAGAGTTTGTTCAAGGGCTTTGGGGTTGTTTACAGGTTTCGGTGATAATAAATAAAGCTACTGTAAACATTGGTGGATAGGCTTGTGTGCAAACATAATTTTTCACTTCTCTTGGGTAAGTACCTAGCAGTATGTTTGGTAAGTCATGTGGTAAATATTTGTTTGACTTTATAAGAAGCTTCCACAGAGTTTGACAAAGTGGTGATCCCATCTTGTATTCCTACCAGCAGTGTACAAGAGTTCTTAGTTGGTACTGAGAACCCTCAAGGCAGTTGGTACTGTTAGGGTTTTTTTAAGCCACTCCATTTTGTATGCATTGGTCTGATCTTATGGTTTTAATTTGCATTTCCCTGATAACTAAGCATGTTGGGCATTTTTTCACATAACTATTGGCCAGTCATATACCTCCTTTGATGAAGCATCGGTTCAAATATTTTCCCATTTTTAAATTGGGTTGCTTGTTTTCTTATTGTTAAGTTTTGAGAGATCTTCATATATCCTTAATACAAGTTATTTATCAGATATGTGTTTTGAAAATATTTTCTTCCACTCTATGGTTTGTCTTTTCATTTCCTTAACTGTGTCTTTCAAATAGTAGAAGTTTTGGATTTTGTTTTTCAGACAGGGTCTTGGTCAGTTGCCCAGGCTGGAGTACAGTGGCACAATCATGGCTCACTGCAGCCTTGACCTCTTGGACTCAAGTGATCCTCCCACCTCAGCCTCCTGCCTCAGCCACCTACGTTGCTAGGACTGCAAGCACATGCCACCACACAAGGTTAATTTTTTTATTTTTTATTTTTATAAGGACAGGGTCTCTCTATGTTGCCTAGGCTGGTCTCAAACTCCTGGGCTCAAGCAATCCTCCTGCCTTGGCCTCCCCAAGTGCTGGAATTACAGGCGTAAGCCACTGTGCCCAGCTTAGAAGTTTCTAATTTTAAAGACAGCCAGTTTAAACCTACAGAATGGGAGAAAATTTTTGCAATCTACTCATCTGACAAAGGGCTAATATCCAGAATCTATAAAGAACTCAAACAAATTTACAAGAAAAAAACAACCCCATCAAAAAGTGGGCAAAGGATATGAACAGACACTTCTCAAAAAAAGACATTTATGCAGCCAACAGACACATGAAAAAATGCTCATCATCACTGGCCATCAGAGAAATGCAAATCAAAACCACCACACCAGTTAGAATGGCGATCATTAAAAAGTCAGGAAACAACAGGTGCTGGAGAGGTTGTGGAGAAATAGGAACACTTTTACACTGTTGGTGGGACTGTAAACTGGTTCAACCATTGTGGAAGACAGTGTGGTGATTCCTCAGGGATCTAGAACTAGAATTACCATTTGACCCAGCCATCCCATTACTGGCTATATACCCAAAGAATTAGAAATCATGCTGCTATAAAGACACATGCACACGTATGTTTACTGCGGCACTACTCACAATAGCAAAGACTTGGAACCAACCCAAATGTCCAACAATGATAGACTGGATTAAGAAAATGTGGCACATATACACCATGGAATGCTATGCAGCCATAAAAAATGATGAGTTCATGTCCTTTGTAGGGACATGGATGAAGCTGGAAAGCATCATTCTCAGCAAACAATCGCAAGGACAAAAAACCAAACATCGCATGTTCTCACTCGTAGGTGGGAACTGAACAATGAGAACACTTGGACACAGGAAGGGGGACGTCACACACCAGGGCCTGTTGTGGGATGAGGTGGGGGAGGGATAGCATTAGGAGATATATCTAATGTAAATGACGAGTTAATGGGTGCAGCACATCAACATGGCACATGTATACATATGTAACTAACCTGCACATTGTGCTCATGTACCCTAGAACTTAAAGTATAATAATAATTAAAAAAAAAAGATAGCCAGTTTATTCACTTTTCTCTTGTAGGCCATGCTTTTGTGTCACATCTAAGAGATATTTGCCCAACCCTGGTCACACATTTTCTTCTTTGTTTGTATCTGTTAGTTTTCAATTTTACATTTAGGCCTGTGATCCATTTTGGGTTCATTTTTATATATGCTGCGAAGTATGAATCAAGATAAATCTTTTTTGTATATGACAGATGATTAAGTAAAGAAAATATATTTTATAGATGTGTGTGTGTGTGTACACATACACCGTGGAATACTATTCAGCCATAAGAAAGAATGAAATAATGGCTTTTGCACCAACATGGATGCAACTGGAGGCCATTACCTTAAGGCAATAACTCAGAAGCAGAAAGTCAAATACTGCTTGTCCTCACTTACAAGTGAGAGCTAAATAACGTGTGTACATGGACATACGGCATGGCATAATAGACAGTGGAGACTCAGAAGGGCAGCAGGGTGGGAGCAGGGCGAGGGATGAGAAGTTACTTACAGGGTTCAGTGCACTCTGTTCGGGTCATGGCCACCCTAAAAGCCAAGACTTCACACTATGCAATACATCCATGTACCAAAAGTGCACTTGGACCCCCTAAATTTATACAAAGAAAACAAATAAATAGGCTGGGCGTGGTAGCTCATGCCTGTAATCTCAGCGCTTTGGGAGGCCAAGGTGGGCGGATCACTTGAGGTCAAGAGTTTGAGACCAGCCTGGCCAACATGGTGTAATCCTGTCTCTACTAAAAATACAAAAATTAGCCAGGCGTGGTGGTGCACGCCTATAATCCCAGCTACTTGGGAGGCTGAGGCAGGAGAATTGCTTGAACCTGGGAGGCGGAGGTTGCAGTGAGCAGAGATTGCGCCACTGCACTCCAGTCTGGGCAACAGAACAAGACATGCCTGAAAATAAATAAATAAATAAATAAATAAATAAATAAATAAATAAATAAATAAGTTGTTTGCATATGGGTATTCTATTTTTCTAGCACCATTTGTTAGCAAGATTATCTTCATTGAATTGCTTTTGCATCTTTGTTGAAAATCAATTGGCTGTGCATGTGTGGATCTGCTTCCGAATTTTCTATTCTGTTCCATTGATCTATGTCTATTCTTTACCAATACCACACTTAGTTGATTACTGTAGCTTTATAGTACATCTTAAAATCAGGCAATGTGTCTGCTGTTAGTTCCTCACCCCTGGCTGGTGGCTGTTTCACCTTTTAAAAGTCTGTGTCCCACAGTGACTCAGGCCCTCCTGAGGGCCAAGTTCTAGGCATTCAGCCTGGCAGAGACTTAAGACAAGACCACAGCCCTTTGCCCCTTTAACTAAGCATTGCCTGGGAGCCTTGCATTTCCCATCCTAGATATAAGCAATGTGGGAAGACAGACATGAGAGAGACAGTGCCCCTATCATTGGGAAGCTCACAATGGAGTAAAGGAGAAAAGATGAGTACTAAATAAGTCTTAAGAAAGAACGAAGAAAAGTGCCATAAACATTCTGCACCAAGGACTCAGAAGCTGTGGGAGGTGCTGTGTCCATCCTCCCTGCCTGTGCCTCCTGCTTCACGTCGGCTGCCTACCACTGTCAGTGCTGCATGGGGCCCAGGCCTGCGGATGCAAAGTTTCTTTCTCAATCTCTCTCTCTTTCTCTCTCTTCACTGTCTCTCTGCCTCTCTTTCTTCTGTTCCCCTCTCTCTCTCCTCTGTCTCTTTCTCTCCTCTGTCTCTCTGTTCTCTCTCTCTCTCTCCTCTCTCTCTCCCCTTTGTCTCTCCTTGTCTCTCTCTTTGTGTCTTTCTCTCTCTCTCTCTCCCTGCCCCACATCTCACTCATGCTGAGTCAAATCGCCTCGGCTTTCCCTCCTAGTCCTCCTGTTTCTCCTCTTTCTCCTCCCCATCAAGGGGATATCATGGTCTTTCTATGCACCCTAATTTGATTCTGGTCTCCCCGGGCTAAAACCCATCCAGGAGTGCCTTTAGCAACAGGGCAATGTCTGACTTTTCCCTGATGGTCCATGCTTTCCCCCGGGGCTCTTCCTCACCTCTCCAGCCTTCCTGCTTGGCCCGATGCAACAAAATTGTGCAGGAGCAACTGCTCCCTCTTCCTGAAATGCCTCCCCGCCCCTGCTCAGGTTCCTCCATCAGTCTGGACCTGAGCACCACCCTGACCATAGCACCCTCCACTCTGTAGGTGCTTGCAGGTTTTGATACTGGAGCACAGGCCGGGCGCAGTCACTCAAGCCTGTAATCCCAACACTTTGGGAGGACAAGGTGGGTGGATCACCTGAGGTTAGGAGTTCAAGACCAGCCTGGCCAATGTGGCGAAACTTCGTCTCTAGCAAAAATACAAAAATTAGCCACGCATGGTGGCGGGCACCTGTAATCTCAGCTACTTGGGAGGCTGAGGCAGAATAATCACTTGAACCTGGGAGGCGGAGGTTGCAGTGAGCCAAGGTAGCGCCACTACACTCCAGCCTGGGCAACAGAGTGAGACTCCATCTCAAAAAAAAAAAAGATACTAGGGAGCAAAGGCCACCCTGCCCCTGCCACACAGGAGGTACTCAGCCTCTTGGGACTACTTCCCTGACCCCCAATTCCCCAGGGAAGCTTAGCTGCTCCCACCTCAGGCTCCCATCACAGTTCTCAATCTTCACATTTGTTGGCCGTTGGGGTGTCTGCTCCACCTGAGCTTCAGGAAGACCAGAACAAGGTCTTTTGGCCGGTCTTCGTCAGCACAGGGCACGGCACAGAGTCGGCCTCAGGCATGTTTGCTAGGTGAGTGAATGAATGAATGATACTGGAGTAGTGGGCTTCTGCCTCACCTAGGGGTTCTGTTAAAATGCAGACTCTGATTCAGGGGCTCAGAGTGTGCTGAGATTCTGCCTTTCCATCAACTTGCAGGTGGTGCTGAGTCCCTGGGTACATGGAGGAGCAAAGACATGAACCTTTCCCTGCTCCTGGCAACTGGCTCCATCCTACTCCCTATGGGCTTCATGAACTTGCCTGTGGTTGGGGATACTTCCTGCCCTTATGGGCCCCAGAACCCCTATCTCTTAAAAAGGGAAATTTCCCTGGACATCTCTCAGTTGCTGTCCACCCTGTGAAATGAACCCAGGAAGCTATGGTTAGGTACCCTAGCCCGGTCTGGCCCAAATGCAAGTGTTCTGGCGGTGAACACTTAGCATAGGGTTTGGAGAGTCCCTCTCGGTGATGTGCTAAAGCAACCTATATGGCACCACCTCACCAGGGGGCACTGAGGCAAGCAGGATTCCCAGAAGTCACAGACCCGAAGAGAGAAAAAGAACCAGTCCCTGGGCTTGACATGAGACAAAGGAGACCAGAATGGACACACGGCAGCCACTCTCCTATCAAGTTTTCCACATCACCTTCATCCCCTCATTTCAGCCATACCAACAACCCAGCAAGGCAGAGGCAGCAGGCCTCCCATTTGCCTTACAATGGAGGGACTAAGCCCAGAGAGGTGTGAGCACCTCACTAGCATCATCTAGCAGTGAGTAGGGTAGGCACAATGGTACCTGGCTCTGAATGCCTGGTCTAGGTTCTGTCCCTCACATGGCACTGGGTTAAGAGACATCCTGAGACATGCAGGGATACCCTTGGGAGTTTGGAGGAGCTTCAGGCACCATGCATAGCCAATAAATCAGAATAAACAACTAGTCAGGAAAATCAAATGCTTGGATTTTATTATTAAAATATTTTCAAAGCTGATGAAATTGGAAAATGACGAACCGAGACCTGACTCTATTGCTCATCCCCAAGTTAAGAGAGCCAGCTTTCAGCTCACCTGCTGGGCAACTTGACAGAAAGAATGCACACACACACACACACACACACACACACACACACACTCACACACATACCTCCCCTCCTAGACCTTCCAAGCAGGGAGTCTCGCCCGAGTAACACATACCCTTTACTCGCATTCTTCCCTTGATTTATCAGGAGAGAATGGTCAGAACTTAACAGAAAAAAAAGGACCCAGGCTCTTGGGTTCTGAGAGGGGATGGGGTGAGGCTGTCTGTCATGATGACCTTGACCTTTTCCTTCCTGCACCTCCAGATTCCCTCTCCCCTTCTTTAAGAGTGGAGGAGGTGGTACCTAGGGGCCAGGACCCTCCATTTCAGTCTGTACAAACCACTAATTCCTTCTGTGCCCTTAGGCAAGTCACTCGCCCTGCCTGGTCAATAAAGTCTCCTTCTTTACTGAAAAATACATCAGCTTGCCTCATGTGGATGTCCTGAGACATAAATGACAGATGGGAAATGAGGGGCTTTGTAAGATTTAAAATGCTGTGTCCCTGAGAAGGATGTTGCACTGGTTTGGAGCCAGGATCTGATAAACAGAAGACAAGTGAAACACTGGAATAAAAAAATACTTGTAACTTATATGAAAAAAATAAACGTATGTTATTAATATACAAAGAGCTCTAACCAATCAATAAGAAAAAATCCTGGGAAATTGATATGAACATAGGCAGATCAGAAATGAAGAAATTCAAGTGCTTATGAACATATTGGAGAATAATAATAGCTTACATTTACTTGGCCCTTATTTTGAGCCAGGAACTGTGCTGGCACTTTACATGAATGATGCCATTAAATCCTCCAATCCAATTAATAAGGTAAAGACCCATTACCATCCTCATTCTATAGATGAAGAAACTGAGGTCCAGGGAGGTTCAGCAACTTTCCCAGCATCACACAGCTTGAGAGTGCCAGAACAGGAATTCTCACTCACGCAGTCCGGCAGAACACAACCTCACTCACAGGGAACAGATTGCAAATCACAATAACTAGGAAGACATTGTTCCTTCACTTATCAAATTAGCCAAAATATTAAAGTTCGATTAACAATCAAATATTGGCGTGGGTATGAGAAAATATGCGTTTTCATGTATTATTGGTGCAATCTTTCTGGGGAGCAATTTGCCAATACCGGTAGATATTTTACATGTACCACTTGATGAAAAATTTATCCTACAGATATACTCACACCTGAACATAAAACTATACATACAAGGATATTTATTTTTATATGAGAAAAAGGAACTCTCATTCATTGCTAGTAGGAATACGAAATTGTACAGAGATAGTTTGGCAGTTTCTTATGAAGCTAAACATAGTCTTACAGCAATGTTGCCCTGCGTATTTAACCAACTGAAGTAAACATATGTCCACATCAAAACCTGCACATGAATATTTATAGTAGTTTTATTCATAATAGTCAAAACCTGAAAGCAACCAAGATGCCCTTTGGTAGATGAATAAATGGCAGTATGCCCAGACAACAGAACATTTTTCAGCACTAAAAAGAAATGAGTTCTCAAGCTATGAAAATACATGGAGGAAGCTTAAATCCATATTGCTAGGTGAAAGAAGCCTGTCTGAAAAGGCTACATGCTACATGAAGCCAACTCTGTGACATTCAGGAAAACTATAGAGACAGTAAAAAGATCAGTGGTTGCCAGGAGTCCTGGGGAAGGTAAGAGGGGTGAATGGACGGAGCACAGGGGATTTTTAGGTGGTCCAACTATTCTGTATGCTACTGGAGTGGGAGATACACCACATGGATTTTCAAAATCCAGAGAAGTGTCCAACACAAAGAGTAAACTTTAAACCATGAACTTTAGGAAACAGTAATGCATCAATATTGGTGCATTAATTGTAACAAATGTACCATGTTGTACACTATGCAAGCTCATAATAGGAGAAAGTGTATGAGAGTGAGAAAGTGTAGGGGAACTCTGTATTTTCTGCATACTTTTTCTCTTAATTAAATCTCATCTAAGAAATAAATCTATTAAGTTAAAAAAAATGTGAGGTGTAACATAAAGTCCAGAAAAAGAAGTCTGGTTTAATTTTAAAAGGCACTTGTATACTATGCCATACAATATGCCCAGGAAGAAAATAAAGAAAATATTGTTATATGTGGCAGTATTATCTACAAGACATATCTTAATTTTTTTTTTCTTTTTTTGGCAGAGTCTCGCTCTGTTGCCCAGGCTGGAGTGCAGCGGCACAATCTCAGCTCATTGCAACCACCACCTCCTGGGTTCAAGCGATTCTCCTGACTGTAGCTGGGATTACAGGCACCCGCCACCACGCCCAGCTAATTTTTGTATCTTTAGTAGAGACAGGATTTCACCATGTTGGCCTGGCTAGTCTGGAACTCTTGACCTCAGGTGATCCTCCCACCTCAGCCTCCCAAAGTGCTGGAATTACACGCATGAGCCACCATGCCTGGCCTATCTTAAAGAATTAATACAGAATAGTATCTAAGTGGGATCTCACTTGTATGGAATATTCAGAGGTCTGAGCTTGTGATTACCAAGGAAGTTTGTGGAAGGCCCATGGAAATTATTAACATCTTCAGTGGTAATCTGCGGGAATTCCAGACAAGGGCGAGGATCAGACCTTCAGTTTACACAGTATTTGAAATTCCTATCGTGAATAAAACAAAAGGCCGAGGTCTGTACTGTTTTAAATTCTTATCATAAGTACGTATTACTTTCATTTTTGAAAAGACAAACAAAATGACCGCCCTGGAGTCACACAGACTGGAGTGTGAATCCAGCAACTGAATTCCAGAGTTGAAATGCAGCAGCCATCGTGGGGCTAAGGACAGCCTTCACTACGCTCTAAAGATGGCACAGCACAAATATGGAAAGAACCTGAATCCATGTCCACACTGAGCCACACAGCCCACCCAGAAGCCAGTTACCTCCTAAATTCTTCAGTGGGAAGGTGAACATTCTATAATAATTGTTTAGCTAACTTTCAGTTCAAAATTAACTTACTTGTAGCTGAAAGTGTCCTAAGGAAGACAGCAGCTCAGAGAGGCCTTGTGCGCATGGAAGGAAAGAGGAATGGGTGTTCAAGATACAGCCACTTCCTTGACCCCCTCCCCAAGAAGAAGGGAAGCCCAGCCCTTTGCGGGTGTCATGGGGTAAAGCCCCAAACTGAGGTTCAGCCTGGGAGGCTACGTCGGTTCTTGGCTTCACCCAGGAAGGAATTCAAGAGCCAGCCAACAGAGTAAAGGGAAAGCAAGTTTATTAGGGTGGATCACTTGAGGCCAGGAGTTCAAGAGCTGCCTGGCCAACATGGTTAAACTCCATCTCTACTAAAAATACAAAATTAGCCAGGCCTGGTGGTGCGCACCTGTAGTCCTAGCTACTCGGGAGGCTGAAGCTGAGGCAGGAGAATCGCTTGAACCCAGAGGCTGAGGTTGCAGTGAGCGAGATTGTGCCACTTGCACTCCAGCCTGCAAGACTCCGTCTCAACAACAACAACAACAACAAAATGATGAAGGCAGACCAAAGGTTTGCACCACCATATTTGCACAGAGGCTCAGAGGCACAGCTTAGGGGGGAAAGAGAGGAAGCCTCTTCATCCAGCCCCTCGTGAGGATGAGCTGCATCTGGAGTCGAAGAGGTAAGTGGGGCCTGTCTTCCATTCCTAAGGCCGTGGTGTCCCCTGCCTGAGCCCCACCCTTCCCACCTTCTCCATCTCTGTCCTTTCTGGAAGCTTCCGCCCTGCTGTCCAGGTTGGCCCGAGCGCCCGAAGATGAAGAAGGGTGGGGGATGCGCAGGGACGGTCCTGTCGGTGAGGGTGGGACTGTCCTCGGGGCCTTGGGAGCCCTCCCCCGCCCCGCCCCTCCCCGCCCCGCCCCACGGCGACTCCTCCCTCCCGAATCCCCTCAGGCTCCGAGGGTCCCGGCTTGGAGCGAAATGCCCACCAGGAGGCGTCGGGTCCTGTCACGGGCCGCGCCGCCCAGGACCACGCCTGGCCCGGGACCCACGCCAGTCCGGGGACACACACCTAGCCGCAAACCAGACCGCGGGATCAGCCGCAAGCCACCCTCTCCAGCGCCGCCCTGCACCGCAGATCAGGGTAGGAGATTAGAGTAGGAACGCGGAGGGGTGGGGGAGGGGTGGGCGAGGGGTGGGGGAGGGGTGGGGTGGGCGGAGGGGCCTATCTGCTCCCAGTCCCTATGACACAGGGACTAAGAGTACCTAAAGCCCTGGGAGAGGAGGAGGAAAGGTCAGGCAGGGACTAGGCGCAAAATTTAAGGCAACACTAAGTGATTCGGTAACCAAGATAAATCATATTTTAATTATTTTAAAGCAGTGTTTTAAAATAAAAACTAATGAAAAAATGATAAAATATCAAAAATTTCAATAAAGCAGCATCCGACTTCCTGCCCAGCTGTCCTACGGTATCCCAGGTGCCAGCCCCCTGTGTCCACACCCCTGCTGGTTCCTGCCCCACCCCTTCCCCCAGCCCAGGAGGCTTCCACCCTTCAAGAATTGAAATCTTCACAAGAAGCCCTTGCCCCTCTCCCTGAATACCCCCAACTCTGAAGAGAAAAAAAATCAAACCAAAGAGTTTTCCTCAAGAGTTGCAGGCTGGGCTTACAAAAGCCACAAAGCTTGTGTACAAAATGACACCCTTGGCCACCATCTCCCAGTCTGTTGACTGCTAAAAATGAGAAGTGAACAGAGAGAAGGCCAGGCAGAAGGCTGCAGGGCAGGGGCCAGGTGGGCAGCAACAGGGAACAAATCTGAGTGGAGGGGAGAATTCTATCCCTCCCAGGGTTCCAGCCCCAACAGAGGCTCCCTGCTTGGGCCTTGCTCAGGCCTGGGAGGGTGATATGCTTTGGCTGTGTCCCCACCCAAAATCTCATCTTGAATTGTAATCCCTATAATCCCCATGTGACAAGGGAGAGATCAGGTGGAGGTGATGGAATCGTGGGGGCGGTTCCCCCATGCTGTTCTTGTGATAGTAAGTTCTCACGAGATCTGATGGTTTTATAAGTGTTTGGTAGTTCCTTCTGCATTCATTTCCTTCCTGCTGCCTTGTGAAGAAGGTGCCTTGCTTCTCCTTCGCTGTCTGCCATGATTGTAAGTTTCCTGAGGCTTCCTGTAAGTTTCCTGAGGCTCCCCGGGCCACGTGGAACTGTGAGTCAATTAAACCTCTTTCCTTTATAAATTACCCAGTCTCAGGCAGTTCTTTATAGCAGCATGAAAATGGACTAATATGGAGGGGTCAAAGACAGAAATCTCCTCCTCCAGTCCCTAGCCTTGGCTCTTGGACACGAATCCAGTTCCTGACAGCAGAGAAGCATACAGGTGGGACAGTGCAGTGTGTCCCCACAGGGGCTCAGGCCACACCCCAACCCAATTACAAGCCATGCAAGAAGATTCTGAAAACATGGATGAGGAGATGGCCTGCCTAAAGCCAGCAGATGGGTGCCACCCACCTGATGTACCTCTCTAGCAGCCTAGCCAGCCAGCCACCAACAAGGGCCACCAAAAGTTAGGACTGATGGGGTGCCCTTCCAGCCCGACCAAAGTCCTTCCATTCACCCAGCAGGGCCACTGACAACTGATTTCTCATTCTGGGCAAAAGCAATGGAAACTTGGCACAGCAACCCCAGGGAGACCTCCCTCTGTAAGGAGATGCTCAGATGTTTTGGTTTGTGTCCAAAGAGGGGAAGGACAGGTGGAGAGAAAGGGCCTAGACCCATGTAATCACAAATGCCAAGACCCAGACACAGCCACAGCTGGGGGCCTGGTGGGGGGAATGGCCAAGACCGCAAGAAGAGAGACTACTGTATGGAGCCAGAAGGCGAAGGCAAGTAAATCCTTGGCACAAAGCAGGAGGAGGCAGGAACAAGTACAATGGACAGTGGGGAGGCAGACAGGTTCTGAATAACCCAGAACAAAGAGAACATGAAACCACAAAAGAAGAACAGATTAAAGAGAAATGGGGGATGGGGATGACAGAGCACCCAGGGCAGCGGGTGCAGGACCAGCAGAGGTCCCCCGACTGTCCTTGGCTGTGTGCACACAGAGGTGCTGCAGTCCTGGGGCCATGTTCATAGGATGCAGAGAAAGCACACTCTGTCTTTTCTCAGGAAAGCTGCAGGGAAATGAAAAGCTCCAGGCAGGACAGACTGGGCGATGACTGCATGGCTAAAAGCGCACACCTTAAAACTAGACACACTCCCCTGCCCTGAGCCCCAGATGTCAATGGACATATTCCCACAATTTTCACATTCCCTCCCAATAAAGTAGGGCCATGAAAGATGAATTTTAGGATATCCACTTGGGGAGCTCGTATTTTGGGGCCAGACCTTCCTCCTTGCTGGGCTATCTCGGGCTTGGAGTGGGAGAAGCCAGGCAGGAGTCCTGGAGAGTGACCGCACAAGTGAGCAAAGGCGGCATTCACCCAACTCTTGGGACAAGGCAGTCAGACCCCACCACCCATCCCCAATCCTATGGCCCACGTCACTTTGGTTTCGCTTGTTTTTTTTTTTTTAGTAAACATCAGCTTTCCTCAGGTGTTCTTCTGCTTTATTATTCCCGTGTAGCCACAGCAACAGAACTAGCCCCATGTCTCTCAATCAGGGAGGTCCCCAGCCAGCTTTGGAAAGACACCCATCAAAAAGAGTGAGCAAACCTAAAGAAGGGTTCAATAGGGAAGGTACCAGCGGCCGGCTGCAGAGGGGCTCCATTCCCCTGACCCTCAGTCACTTCCCAGAAACCACACAGAGGAGCCCGGGTGTGCCAGAAACAGCCTTTCATAATACAAGATGGACAGGAAAGAGGCCAAGGGCAGGCAGTTCCCAATCTCCACAAGGGCAAGAAGGTAGAGTCCATACTTCTTTCTTGTCTTTTTCTTTTTTTGAAACAGGGTCTGGCTCCGTCATCCAGGCTGGAGCACAGTGGCACTATCTCGGCTCACTGCAACCTCCACCTCCTGGGCTCAAGCCATCTTCCCACCTCAACCCCCTGAGTAGCTGAGGCTACAGATGCACACCACCACGCCCAGCTAATTTTTGTATTTTTTGTAGAGATGGGATTTCTCCATGCTGCCCAAGCTGGTTTCGAACTCCTGAGCTCAAGCAGTCAGCCCACCTCAGCCTCCCAAAGTGCTGGGATTACAGGCATGAGCCACTGTACCAGGCTGAGTCCACACTTCTAAGCTTGCTGTTGCTCTCAGACTTGCAGAACAACCTATTAAACAGAAGTAGGTAAAAGTTGAGAAAGGGAAGTGGCCACCACAGAACCAGTTCTGCTGAGAACGAGGACTCGAGTCAGGCTATGCTACCCTCCTTCCATGGCCATGGGAAAAAGGGGTGTGTGCTGTTGGTGTGAGAGATCTGGATCTTAACAGATCAGACTTAAACTAATTTGCCCATGATGACCGTGTGGATTTGGAGGGACCTGGGAATCTCACAGACCTATGGGATGTCCCAGTGATATGTCCTGGGCTTCATACCAGCCCTGCCCTGCCTGACAAGTTGGATGAAAACTGATAAAGGACTTGTCATAGCTTCAGATGGCAAAACCAGGCCAGGCCAGAATGAAAAAGGAGAAGGAATTTAACATGGGCAAATGCCAAGCTCTGCATTTAACTAACCAAGGCTGCTTGGCGTGAACAAAACTGAGACAGAGCAATGCATGGAGAAAAGGGTTGGGCATTTGTGGGCTACAAGCTTGGCATGACATGGATGCAAATGTCAATGGGTGCACCCCCAGATGCCTGTGACTCCCTCTGGTGGTTTCTGTGCACAACTTCCCCCAAAATAGGCCCTACAACTCCAGCAGAAACCTACCCTGGGGCTCCTAGAGCTTCCTAGCCTGCCTGCCAGAGAGCAGAAGTGCCTGGAGGCTACATCTTCACCCCTGGGTAGTCCTTACTCTGAGGTGGGACTGCATCCAGGGCTCCCCTTTAGGGTCTGACTTGGACTGAAATCACACCCTGCCTTGCCTTCTGTCCCTCCCTTAACTTGCTCTCCCCTCCCTAATAACTCCAGCATCCTCATCTCAGCAGAAGCTTCTGGGGAACCCAGCCCAAGATGAGTGGTGAGGGCTAGGGTAGCCCTCCTCATGCACTCTGGGAACTACATTTTCAGAAGCCCCAGCCAGAGGGCCAAGTCCCAGGCAGGGTGCAAAGCTGTGGGGCGAGGAACCTGGAAAGAGGCTCTGAACAAGGGACTTTTAAGGAAGTGGGATGTGGGCTGTGATCACAGCCAAGCTGGCAGGGTAAGAGGTGGCCCCTGAATGTGGCTATGAGAGGGGTGCCCAACACTACCAGCCTGTGTGCTGAGCACTAACTCAGTGCCAGGCACTACTTGGGTTATTCTATTTAATCTCCACACCAAGCATGTGAAGGAGGCACCATTGTCATCCCCATCTTACAGATGAGGAAGATGATCAAGGCTTGTAACTTGCCCAAGATCACATGGCTATAGGTGTGGATCCTATATATCCAGATTCAAACTCCAGCTTTAGCCCACTAAGCTACGGTGGCCAACCCCAGCCCAAAGTGTTGGGACCTGCGTGTAGAAGACCCCTTCAGCCCTTGTAAAGTTAGGATCTAGCATGTCTAAGGGGACAGAGACCCAATCCAGGTGACACAGGAGGTAAGATCACAGTGGAACAGGCCATCCCTGCTTTTCCACCACCACCAGCACTGTGACCTCAGACCAGCTCTACTCTATGAGTTTCTTGTGACAGTGATGGCAGCCTGGGGCCAGACAAGGGATGCGTGTCTTGTGTCCTGGACACAAGACAGGCAGGCCCAGAGGGGACAAGCTATATGAAGAGAGGCTTCAGCTGTCGGGGGTCCTGAATGCCATGGAAGGAGAGCAGGTGGGCAGAAGCAGGGAGCCCCTGGAGCAGACAGAGGGGGGATTCCTGCTGAGCAAGGGGCTCTAGGACTCCACGGTTTATGCTCCAAGAACAGAATTTACCAGGACAAAATAAACAAGACCAGTCAGGACCGATGCCCCATCCCTGCTGGGGTCTGGCAAAGCTCTCACCTCCAAATTTGTATCTGTTTTGAATTCAAAGCCAAACAAACACATCAACAGTGAACTCCAACACCTCCCAGAGCAGGGCCTGAAAGGGACCCAGAAAGTCTGGCCAGAAATCTAGAGTCCAAGGGGAGGAGATCTGTAAACTAAACCGCTGGCCATGCTCTGGGGCCCTAAACCACTGCAGGCATCAGGCTGTTCCAGGAGAGGGCACAGCAAGGGGGGTTGGGAGGGGTCTCCAGTTCCAATCAGAAATGAGGCTGCAGTCACTTCAGGTAGACCTGTCAGCAGCAGCTGTGCAACTGGGCTAGGGAGACAAGGATCGTGGTTTAGCCAGGAGAATCATCTGGGGCCCCAGCCAAGACACAGGTGTTGGATTCCAGCACCGCTCTGCAAATACTCATCTCAGTGACGATGAGGTGAGTGGGAGCTTGGCTGAGCCCAGCCCGGCCTGCCATCCTGGCAAGCCAGGGCAGCATGGAGGTAGCACAGAGTGGCACCCAGCCAGCGTGAATGCATAAGAATCTGCACGTGACACAGAAGAAAGTCTCTTCATGAAGTAGGTTTCACTGGTCCCAGCCAAACCCTGTGGCATGTGGCCCTTTCTGCACCTGCTGAACATGCCATTCACCTTGACCCAGGTAGTGGCCTCACCCTCCTCTTGCTCAAACTGGAAACCTCAGCATCCTGAAATGCCTCCTCCCCAAATCCATTGCACACATGTGTGCCTGTGTATGCGTGTGTGTGCACGTGTATGAACCCAGCCCCCAGCTGCCCACTCCATTGCCCCTAAACAGGCCCCTCCTTGGTGTCACCTGGCACATCTCCACTGGAAGCCAAATGGATATTTCTAAACTGAAATCTGGTCCCACCTCAGAACCCCTTCCACAGTTCCCTTAAAGTTCCTTTCCTCATTTACATCAGGATCTTCACAATGGGGACCCCTGGTCACCTCCCAACCCAACAAACGCTCCAAATGAGCCGCCACTGCAGAAACTCATTATGGCCCAGGCAGGACAGGCACATCCAAGTATCTGACCAGGCTGTTCCATCTGCCGGGCAGGTCCTGCCCTCTCTCCACCCACCTGTCTAACCCCTGCATCCTCAAGACCCTACTTAGCTATGGCCCTGTGTGAAAGGTCCCTCCCCATGCACCCACAGCCATTTGTTCTCTCTCATGTGCCCTAACAGGCTGGGGTTCCTGGAGACTCCATGGGGAGCCAGGCATGAAGATGGCATATACCCATGTGTCACTCCCCAGAACGTGAGCTGCCTGCCCTGGCACCATACACAAAGGGACTGACAGCCCCAGAATCCCAAGGGGTGCACCTATGCATATGGGAAAGGCATGTTTACGGGTGAGAATGGTCCATCGTTGGGCTTCAGGAGGCATCTGACCTGACGCACGCCTTTGTCACTTTGTCCTTGTGGCCTGTTGAAATGCCACTCCTGCTTTACAAATTCACCAACTGTTGCATGAGTCATTTCCACCTCAATGAGTACCAGGTCCTTGAGGATGGGGAAAAGTAAGCCACCACTGTGGGGGTCCTGGGCTCCTAGGTGCAGAAGAGGCTCCAGAAACAGGCCAGGTCGTGGGCCATGACCCCACACTAGCCCTCTGGTCCCTCACACGGGTGGATTGGGGGGCTGTGTCACGGGATCTTAGGATCTTCAAGACAAAGACCCAGGACAAGAACACAAGCCCACTCCCATTCTTCACAGGCCTCGAGAAATCTTTGGGCAATGAAGTCAGACTGTGCCAAACCCCCATGTTTCTGTCTCTCCAAGGCCCCTGGCCCCCACTGCCTAGCCTAGGTCAGGTCATGTGGGCAAGCGAGCCCCACAGCCTCACAGCCCCTACCCCAGGGCCAGGGCAAACTCCTGCCCTGTCCCCCTCCATTCCTGCCCTCCCTCCTTCCACAAACTGCACCAGCTGGGGAGAAATCCTTCAGCCGACAGAATGAGGTGAAAATAGTGCAATTTTAGGCTTTGTAACTGAGATTAGGGCAGGTGGCCACCCATTCTCCCCTTCCTCAGGCCAGCCTCTGACACAATGACCCTGGAAGCCTGGCAGCCCTCCGTAATGGTCAGCATCCTCCCCTGCCATCCCCAACCCACACCATGAGCTCAGCCAGGGCAGGGGCAGCCTCTGTCTCATTCACCACAGAATCCACAGAACCCAGCACAGAGTATGAGCTCAGTAAATTCTCCTCATACATGACTGCACTGACTGGACCGGGCACATGCTACAGGGCAACACCCTCGGCTCAGCTGGCCCTGGCTTTGGATCTCAGTCCCACCTCTTCAAGCTGTCCAGCGTGGGGCACATCGGCTACAGCCTTGCCAAATGAAGGCTTGCCAGGATGAAGAGGTGAAGACAGGACAAGCACAGTATGTGGCACACAGGAGGCCTCTGATAACATCAGTCCCCTTCCCTAAAGACCTGGGCAGTCCCTGTCACTGGGGCCTCACATTTCATGTCGAGAATTCACTATTTCTCAGCACTGATTTCAAATAAAGCCACCAAGAGTCTGACGAGGCAACATGGCAGAGTTCTGAGGGTGGAGTGAACAAAAGGTCATTTTTTAAAGAAAACTCAGGATCTCCCCTCTGCACAGTGCTAAAGCCCTGTCTCAAAGTTCAGAGCCGGAAGGTGCAGAGATGTGGCCCTTGGAAATCAAGCCCTTAAGAAAACAGCCCAGCTGTGTGGGGCCGGAAGCCCCAGGCTGCAGTCCTGTGGTCTGGAGGCAGCCAATATTCAGGTGAGACATGTGCCCAGCTGCCGGTGGGTCCAGGGGGCACGGAGCCCCCACCGTCCCTGGCCCAGGTCTAGGACTAAGTCAGTGGGCCCAGGCCAGCTCCAAGGGCCACAGCTCCTCACTCGGGGGCCGCGCCGGAGCAGCCGCAGCAGCTGGGGTGCCGCAGGGACTGCATGACAGCCCGCAGCGGCCCCCTCCGGCCCTCCACAGACAGGCTGTCCTCGCTGGCGGGCGCCCGCTGCAGCTGCTCAAACTGCATCTCCAGGTGCTTCTGGATGGCCACACCGAGCACCTCCAGGTCCACCGCAGCTCCGTACACCTCCCATGTCATGCCCTCAGCATCCCATCGCACATCCCGCACAGGGGACGGCGCCTCCTCCAGGCTGGACCCCAGAGTTACCTCTGGGAACACATGCAGGGCTGCAGGCGCTTCCAGGGACGGACTGGTGGCCACAGCCTTGCAGGCCGCCACTGGGGCCGCCTGCACACCAGCATCCTGGGCTGACAGCGGGGATGCCTCTGCAGGGGCCAAGTCATTGGCTGAGGTCATGGTCCACACATCTTTGGTCCTAGAGCCAGGCTCTGGGACTAACCCAGCGGGACCCCAAAGGTGGGCACAGCAATGGGAATGCCCAGGGAGCCCCCCAGACAACCTACAGTGGATCTTCACCCCATGCTGAGCCTGCAGCCCAGACTCGCTCACTGACGCCACTAGTTTGGGAAAGGCCAGGATCCCTGTGGCAGGTAGGGCATGGCAGCAGCCACCAGCCCCTCACCTCCCTCATGCCACAGAGTAGAGCAGCTGGGGGCAGAGCATGGCAGGTGGTGGTAGCCAGCTGTTCAGCAGCTTTGGGCTCAGCCTGGGCACTGCTGCTGTGGGCAGTTGTGTCCCCCAGGTCTAGTGGTGGCACTGACAACTGACTCGCCCCCAGCATCCAGGCTGAGTTAGAAGTCTCATCCTCAGGAGCCAGGTCCCTTTCCAGGCCTGCAGGGGCCTGGCCACCCTGGCCAGAAGTACCACCTGGCTGCAGCTGAGCCCTGTGGACAGGGCTGCTGCCAAGGGCTGAGCAGCTGAGACTGGCCTTCCGAGCACCACTGTGTCCCCGCATCTGGGTGCTACGGACCAGGTCTGAATGGCTCCTCTGCATAGCAGCAGCACTAGGGGCCCGCAGGCGACACAGGTCACGCCGCCCATGGTGGACACATTGCCCACAGTGCTGCTCCACCAGTGGCCTCCAGCACTGGGTCGCGCCTTGGGGCCAGAGGCCCGTGCTGGCTTCATGCTCTCAGGCGGGTTCCCCTCTTCCTCCGGGGCCTGGGGTCTGGTGCTGGCCTCGCCCAGCTGGGCCTGCCACATGGTGCTGCTGGCAGTCTTGTGGAGCTCTGGCCTCTGTTCCCGGCCTTCACCCAGCAGGCTGGAAGAGCTCTGGGACAGGGGCTGAAGGCGGGGGCTCAGGGGTGCCCAGGGACCCGGCTCGGGGTGGCTGGAGCTCATGGCTGCCTGCAGAAGAGAGAAAGGGAGGGAGTGGAGTTGAGTTGGGTGGCAGCACCTAAGCCGATTCTACTATGAACTCCCACAGCGCTAGGTTCACCAGGGAGCCACCTTCAGTCCCAGCCTGCCTGACTGGTCAGAACCATATGCAAGGCAGTGACAAGACACCAGACACTTCAAATCAAGGTCATCTCACATTAGACACAAGGATGACACTGCAAATTATCTCATCATCAGTCTCAAGCAGTTAGAATCTGCCCTAGGGTGGGGTCCTGGAGGCCGCCACTCTATCAGCTCTCAACTCTTTACTGGCTGGTTTGTGTGGGAGGGGAAGGGAGAGAGCCAAATCTGCTGGGGCTTTGGGGGTGAAACTGCAGCCCTAGGGGGTGGGGCTGTGGGATAACAGCTCTTGGTCAACCAGCACGGAAGCACTATGGCCTCTTAACGGGCACAGTTGGACAGGCCAATACTGGGCTACTTCCTCCTGGGACTGGCAGTATCCAACTCACTGTGGACAGGGTCTCCTTGGTACAGAGTGGGAGCTCAGAGAAAGTTCACAGGACGAGGGAGCAATGACCAGAGGACACTGAGAATCACCCTGGGCTTCCACAACCACCCCCATCCTCCTTGGCCTAGCCTTGCTGAGCTGGCATGTCTCTGGGGTTCCCTGACTCCTACCTCTAGCTCCAGGGGCAAGGAGAGGCCCCATGCATCAGCTTTTTCCATGAGGGACTCATTCAGCATCTGGTCATTGATTCCACAGCATCTCCTGAGCCCCTACTGCGTGCCCAGCTGTAGGGCTAGGGAACATGGGATTCATTCAGACCTTTCTGTACCCCTGGGGACGGTGCAGCAGTGAGATAAGATGCCCACCCAGTACCATCAATCAGACCTATCCTGCCTGACATTTAATCCCCTCTTGCCCAGTGTACCTGCATCCTCATTGTCCCCCACCCTCCGTACCATCGCTGTCACTTCCCCCAGCCATAAAGACCACCCTGGACCTGGCAGCTGCAGCCTAGAGCCAGTTCTGGCCCTTTCCACTTCTGCATCTCTTCCTGGGGCCCCTTTCCCGACCCTCCAGCCAGGCAGCCTTCATCCCTGACTGAGCATTGGGCCTGCATGGAACAGTTTGGCCAACTGTCAGCCTCCCCACAGGCCTGAAGTTGGCAAAGCCTGGCCTGTGGCCTGCTCCCCTCTGGCTGTCCAACACCCAGCACTGACCTGATGTGTCGTCGGCACTCAGAGGATTATCTGCTGTGTGCCTGACCAAGAGAACAAGCAAATACAAGAACACACCCACAGAGGAGGGCACTGAGTGCCAAAAATGGGGTCTGAGGGAGGGCACCACCAAGGCAGGAGAGCTCACGGAGGGTGAGAGATGAGAAAAGGCTTCCTGGAGGACCAGCCACGTAAGTCAGGCCTGGAGTGAGAGAAGCAAGAAGGTGTTCAGGTGGAGAGCGGAGTGGGCAGGAGGAAAGAGGCCATGTGTCCAGAGCATATGAGGGGAGCAGTGGGGTCAAAGTGTCTGGGCCACCTCGGCCCTGGCCACAGCAGTGAATTAGGGAGATCACTCTGGGACTCCTTGCCAGGCAGGAGAGGTGGGAGAAACAGGGTGGGGACAGGAGGCAGCAGCTGCATTTGGGCAATCCCAGCCCTGCCCTCCCAGCCTAGGCTGATAAAGACTTCCAGGCAACAACCTCCCCGACCAGGTGAGCAAGGCTACCCGAGAGGAAATTCGGGAAGGGCTGTGGGACTCGGTTTCTGTGTAATTACAAATGTCCTGGCAGCCCAGCACTCAGGAGATGGCTGGTGGCTGCTGAGCCACAGTGAGGATGATACTGGTGCTGTAGTCCCTGAGACTCCAGCTCTGCACAACTTCCTGCGATGATGGAAAGATTCTACCCTGTGCTGTCCAATAGGTAGGCACCAATGGCATGTGGGTACCAAGCACTCAGCAGGGGGCTACTGCAACTGAGACACTGAATGTTTAAGTTTTATTTGAATCTAACTGGCCACATGAGGCTAATGGCTACCGTACAGGACTGTGCAGCTCTGAACACAGCCCCGGCCTGGTAAGGATGTCCCATCCCAGCTGCTTCACGGGGCTGAAGCCAGACTTGTCCCTGGGAGGATCAGGAAGAGGAGGAGTAGCCAAGAGAGAAATCTGACCCAGACCCTGCCCTCAATGAGCTCTAAGATGGACATACAAACAAAGGAGGGCAATAAAGCCCGTAACAGCGATGATAATAACAGCTGCCAGGGCCTGATCACTCGCCAAGGGCCAGACACGTGCCACATCCTTTGCATACATTGTCTCATATAACTGTGCAAGCAACCTCTTGAGACAGTCATTATCTCCATTCTACAGACAGGAGAATTCCATAAGCTCAGAGAGGCTCAGTGACCCCCAAGGGCACACACCTGTGGGGCAGCTGAGCTCCTCTCCCCTTCGAGCACTGAGCAGGCCTATGCCTCGCAGCTCTCACCCTTTTTACTGATCTGGCCTGGCCCTGCCAATCGTGCTCATGACATGCCATGGAACAAGTCACTGAGTGGATCTCCACCTGCCCAACATGCTTCTTAGCAGCTCCTGAGGCTGCAAGAATGAGGAGGGCAGGAGGTGTTCCTCCTGACTGGGACAGCTGTGGTCACTGCCAGCCCCTGGCAGGGAGACAACCACTCAGTTGCAGGTCCAAGACCCCAGGGAGGCCCCATCTGGACATCCACACAGCCTCTGGCCAAACCCCACCACCCTCCCAGGGAGGGGGGCCATAAACAGCCAGGCCAGCAGCCTCTGGCCCCTGAGGAGACAGGTGGAATGAGGTCCTCAGACCCCCACCAAGACCCACTGAGAAGCCATGAGCAATGAGCATCCCACTGTGCCTGTCTCACCAGAGGGCTGCCCAGCACCCAGGGCTAGTCATCACCCAGAGACCCCCGTGTGGGCTATGTATCTATTGGTTCCCTTCCCCATTCCCCCTCCACAAGTGGCAGGTGACAAAACTGAGGCCTGGAGCAGCTCAGAAATGTCAAAGAACACACAGCTGAAAGTGGCTAATTCAGAACCCCAATGGATTGGCCTGGCTAACTACAACCTGGCCTTCCCAGCTCAGAAGGAAGGAAGGGCTCTGAGGGGAGTACTGGGGGAAAGAGGCTTCCACACTGCCTGTCACAGTGCTGTGGACTGGGCCAGAGGAGGGGCCTCCCAGGGAGCCAGGGGTGAGGAGGAAGGGGCAGGGCTCTGCTTCCAATGGGGGCTCTTCCCCTTCCTGTGCATGTACTCACAGGTGGACCCCTAACTTCTTTGAGCCTCAGTTTCTTCAATCTGCAAAACAAAATAAATCCCCACCCTGCAGGGTTGTTGTGAAGACCAAATGTGACAGCATGTGCACTGTCTGCAATAGTGTTTGTTAACAATAATCTTCTCTTTCCCCTCCCATCAAGAGCAGCTTAAGTTCATGGTATAACAAGTATTAGTACTGGGGGCCAGAGAGGCCCTTTTCAGAAGCCATCAAGACACCCCAAAGGTTAGCCTCCTCTAGCTTCCCATCCTCGCTACCTTCATCCCATCCTAGGACCAGGTCACCATCAGTGTCCCCAGTCTCCCTATCACCAAACTAGGTTTCCCAGAGCCTATTTTAAATGTTAACCTAGGAGGCTACGCATGCATACAAGTCTAGAGTCTGCACTTTAAATGCCCAGAATGGCACACCCACCCTGCCTTTATAACAACACAGAAGGTTCTGGTTTTGCCCTAAAGGGACCCCGGAAGATCTTTTAGGACAAGATAAAGAACAGGCATACAGAAGTATCCAAGACCTCTAGTATTCTTTGAACGATACCTTAATGTTCTCTCTCCTGCCCCATTTGATGCCGAAGTTGCTATGGTTGTGGCCGATGTCCCGTGGCCAATGCCAGGCTGTCCTGCTGCCTCAGGTTCCACCTGTCAGCAACTGGAAGATCAACCACCTATGTAGCAATCAACCAATGTCATTTTGAGTAAAAGCCCCCAGTTCTCAGACACTTCCAGACTAGCCCAAACATAGAGACCTTTGAGTCAACGTACAGAGTCCAGCTCCCGCCATGCTGCCACAGCAGAGGAGCCCAGGCCTTTGGGATATGCCCAGGGGACTACCAAGACCACCACAAGTGGGCTCCATCTCAGACAACACTGTGGCATCCATCTAAGTCCCCTCTTGGTTTTGTTCGTTCGTTTGTTTGTGAGACAGAGTCTCGCTCTGTCTCCCAGGCTCGAGTACAATGGCTCAGTCTCGGCTCACTGCAACCTCTGCCTCCTGGGTTCACGTGATTCTCTTGTCTTAGTCTCCCGGCAGCTGGGATTACAGGCGTGCACCTCGGCGCCCAGCTAATTTTTGTATTTTTAGTAGAGATGGGGTTTTCGCCATGTTGGCCAGGCTGGTCTCGAACTCCTGACCTTAGGTGATCCACCTGCCTCGGCCTCCCAAAGTGCTGGGATTACAGGCATGAGCCACAGCGCTGGCCCAAGTCCCCTCTAGTTAAGTGGCAAGCATTTGGATGATGACTTATGTGTCCGGCAAAACCAAAACAGGAAAAGCAAACCTATATGATCAGGCAGGAAAACTGGTTCTATGTTAAAATATGGACCTTACCTCTCAAGGACCAGGCAGGAATGCACACAGCACAAACCCCCATTGCACAGTGGGGATACAGCACCCTCCAGGAGGTGGTTTAATCCACCCCAGAGTGAACGGGGCCTGATAGGAACACTCAGGGCCAACTCTGGGCAAAGCAGCAGGCAGCATTCCTAAAGGGAGGGTTTGGAGGAGACAAAACCTGCCCTTCACAATGAACGTGCCTTAAGGGCTACATGCCCCGGGTCACAAGCTGTGCCAGGAAAGGGTTCTGGGGTAACTGTGGGGTCAGTGGCCCCATGGATGAGGCTCTGCTCACCAGGAAGAGGCCTAGGCGCCCAACAGCCCCTGAGCTTCCTCCCCTGGGGAGGATTTGCCCACAATCCCTGGGGGGCACCTAGGTGGAGAGGGTGCCCCGGCCTAGAAGCAGCCTAGGCGGCCGGTGTGTCCCTATCTGCACGCTCACAAGCACTCATGCCCCAGCCTGGGACACACAGGCCCGTATGCAGTAACAGCATCTACCCAGCTGCACTCTGCACGCCAAGCACAGGCCGCCCCTGCTGCGGGGCCAAAGGCCTGAAAGCACCGCACCACGCAGCCTCGCCCAGAATAGCTCCCCTCCCGCCCCTCCTGCACAAAGCCCACCCGGACTTAGGGAGAAGGGGGCTCAATACGGGCCCGAAACGAGGCTACAGACCTTCTCAGGAGCAAAGGCAGCGACTGCAGGCAAATGGGGCTGTGGGCCGGGGTAATGATGCGGGACAGGAGAAGCCAAAGGGCAGCAAGGCTGGGGGCGGGGTAGGCGGCGCAGTAGGCTGAGGGAGGGGAAAAGGAAGAAGGGGAGAGGGAGGAGCGATGGCAGCAGGGGTGGAGGCCGAAGGAGACAGGGTCCCGGACAGACTTGTGAAAATGGGAGGATGGGCAGAGGAGACGTAGAAGAGGGGACAGGACAGGACAATGAGAGGCGGAGCGCGGGGAGTGCGATGCGGCCACCGGGGCTCTGGGCGCTGGGCAGGGGCCAGGATGCCGGGGGTCTGAGCGCAGGCAGCGGGAAGGAGTGGGTTCTGAGGCTCAGCAAGGGGGAGGTGCCGCCCACCACGCCCCCCGCCCCAACGGGAGCGCGCGGAGCCGGCCTCTCACCCTCTCGCCCGCCGGGCCGCGCAGGCGGGGGAAGCGCTGCTCCTGCGGCCGCCACAGGTGCCAGGTGCCGCGGCCCAAGATGGAGCCAGAGCCGACCTGGCCTGGGCGCGAGACGCCGCCCGCCGCCGTCGGCCCGGCCCGCGGAGCCAGCGCCGGGTACAGGGAGGGGCCAGCGAGGCAGCTGGCACCGGGGCGGCGGGAGGGGCGGCGGGCGGAGACCTCGCTCACCTGGGCCCGTGCCACTCTGGAGCCTGCCACCGCCCCGCCGCGGCCCGGGATCTGCGTCCGCGCGCCCCCACCCCTCCTTCCCGACCCCTCCTCAGGCCGGGTCCCCACTGTCCTCGGTCTTTTCGGCCCCGCCCGCACCACGACCGCCTGTTCTCCAGGCTGCCCAGCGAACCCCCAAGACTCCCACTTCCCCGACGCAACCCCACCGTCCCGGGTGTATAGGCGCAGCTCCCCACGATTCTCCGGCCCCAGACCCAGCCCCTCAAGTCCACCTCCTCGTAGCCCCACCCCCTCGCTCCAGTGCCCCTCGCTCCAGTTCCCCCTCCGCACCACGCCCCGCATTGAGGTCTCCGCGCCGGCGGCTACCCCTTTCCTCTCGCCTTCTCCATCCTAGCTCCGCCTCTCACAATTCTCTGGCTCCAGATCCCGCCCACGAGACCCCGTTTCCTATAGGGCCCTTTCGTCTGGGATACCAGGCCTGGTCTCCACTAGCCTCGGACTTTCCAGCCCCAGGTCCCAAATCCTGGACCCACCGTCCCATCCTCTGAGCTCCACTCTCATGGACCCCAAACCTCACTCCAGTCCTTTGAACTCCATGATCCTGGCCTGGCCTGGCCCCCGGAGCCCTCCATTGCCCCTCAAGAGCCCAGCCTGGTAGACTCCTTCCCTAGGGTTGCATCTCCAGCCCCGCCCCTGAAGACTGGTAATCTACCACCCCTTTCCCTGCCCACGTGCCCCTACCCAGCCCGACTTGAGGCCTTCAGTCTCCCAGCCGCGGACCCCAACAGCGGGCGAGGGCAGTGACCGTGCGGGGATGAGCCACCTCCACTGGAGCCCGCCTTCTTCTCCGCAATTCCCCGCAGCACCACAGCGCCTTCCCGGTCCCGTGACGCCGGGGGCCAGCCCAGGCCCTGGGATCGCCAGGTTCCACACTATGAGGCTGAGGACCTGGGCCTACTGTTCCCTCAATATCCCCCAGTTTCCACAACCGCTGGCCAGCTTCAGGGCGCAGGACAGGCAGCCCCGGCCTCCCGCCACTCGCAATAGATTCCTGCTGTCCACCCAGGGCCACGTGGTATGAGGCACCTGTACTATCTCTGGGCCCCAGTATCACATAATTGGGTCCCAATGTTGGCACTTCTCCGTTGTCCCCTGTGCCGGGACCCCCAACTTGTTGGCCCAGCCCTGTGCTGAGAGGCCTGCGTTCCTCCCTTCCAGTGCCCAGGAGCCAACAGTATCTCTAATTCTCCCCGTTTGGGTAGCAAAGGACCTCAGTCTGCCCAGAGAGACTCAGACTGCCCCAGGTAGCCCTCTCCAGCGAGGTCTGAGAGCAGCTCTCAGATTCTGGCAGATGGCTGCCTTTGGCCAAATGCCCACAGGGGTGTCGACGTCAGACCCCAGGCTTGGGCCTCACCATCACACACTGCCTGGTAGGGGGATCCTGCTTAAAGGAGGCAAATAGGGGATTTGTTTGCCGAGGCCACTACCCACTTCTGCCCCTGTCCAGGAATTAGGACCTCTGCTTCCACATCTTAGGCATCTTACTCATATTCCCTCTTTAGTGAAGTCAGCTGAGCCCCAAGAAGGGATGGACTGCTTGTGGTTACACTGAGAGTTGGTGCCAGATCCAGGCCCCAAACCTGGGGCTCTCAGCTCCCAGGACATCTCAAGAACCAAGAACCTCACTGTGTGTTTCAAGGAAGCCTTCTTGGGGCTGGGTGTCAGGAGATGTCTGCCATGCAATCTACCTGCGAACACAGCTGGCTGGCCCTCACCCCAGGGCATCACTCCTTGTCCAACTGGCCCCCTTCTTCCATTCATGCCCTGGCAAGGAGGCTCCCCTGGCTGTGGCAGCTGTCCAGGGAGAACCCAGCATGGGGAGTCACACTTAAATTCCAATCTCAACTCCCCCACATATTCACTGGCTGTGCAACCCCACACCCAAGCAAAACTGTTCATCTCTCTGGGCATCAGTTTCCTCATCTGCAGAGTGGTAGTAATTATACCTACCTAACAGGGCTGGGGGAAGAGGGTGTTTGTGAACGTGTCCCGTGGAGTGTTATCGCTGCTATCAGTCACTTGATCAAATATTTACTGAGCTCCTCCTGGGTCAGGTCCTGGAGGTACAAGCTGCACTGCATGGGGGAAGGAAGGGATGGATATGTGTAGATTGCTTTGGTAGAGAGCAGCTCAGGCCTGAGGACCACATGGGCCAACTACCATTTGCTGAGACTCTGAACCCTGACAGAAGAGGAATGAGTGTGGGGTGCACTCAGGGGTCCAGCGGGGGCACACTGGGATGTTTGAGGCACCACGTGGACAGGTGGGTTGCACATTACAGGATTGGAGGGGTTTTTCTGTTTGTTTTTGTTCCTTGAGATGGAATTTCACTCTTGTCACCCAGGCTAGAGTGCAATAGCGTGATCTTGACTCACTGCAACCTCCGCCTCCCGGGTTCAAGAGATTCTTCTGCCTCAGCCTCTTGAATAGCTGGGATTACAGGTGCCCATCACCATGCCCAGCTAATTTTTGTATTTTTGCTAGAGGTGGGGTTTCACCATGTTGGCCAGGTCTCGAACTCCTGATCTCAGGTGATCCGCCCCCTCTGCCTCCCAAGATGCTGGGACTACAGGCGTGAACCACCATGCCCAGCCAAGGACCGGAGTTTTTCAGAAGTCTGGGTGTCATGGACATGGGGTGGTTGCTGAAGTCACAGGGGTGGATAAGGTCTTCAGGGAAAGAGTAGAGTGAGGAGAGGGCTTAGGACCCATTTGTGAGTCACCAGGTGACAAAGGATGGAGGAGCACCCAGAAAAGATAGTGGGAAACTGGGACATCATGGTGACACAGGGCACTTGGAGCAAGCTCCTTCAGTGAGGTGGCAGAGGCAGAAGCCACTGGCGTGGGTTGGGGGATGAGCTGGAGGAGAGAACCAGAGATGGTGCATGTGCAGATGCCTCTTTTAAACACAGCCATAAAGGGGAGAAGAAAGGTGTCACTTGGGAAGGAATGTAGGGTCAAGAGAGGCATTTTTTTAATGCTATTTTTTTTGTTTGCTTGCTTGTTTTATTATCTGCATCCTGTAATAGGTTTCCTTTATTTCAAACAACAGAAAGCAAGTCTGGTTAAGTTAAGCAAAAAGGGACGGCCAGGCGCAGTGGCTCACACCTGTAATCCCAGCACTTTGGGAGGCCAAGGCAGGTGGATCACTTGAGACCAGGAGTTCAAGACCAGCCTGGCCAACATGGTGAAACCCCATCTCTACTAAAAATACAAAAAATGAGCCGGGTATGGTGGCGTCTGCCTGTAATCTCAGCTACTCGAGAGGCTAAGACAAGAGAATCAGGACACTTGAACTTGGGAGGCGGAGGTTGCAGTGAGTCAAGATCGCACCGCCATTGCACTCCAGTCTAGACAACAGAGCAAGACTCTATCTCAAAAAAAAAAAAAAAAAAAAATTAGCTGGGCAGGGTGGCATGTTCCCAAGGCTGAGGCAGGAGGATAGCTTGTAGCCGAGAGGTGGAGGTTGCAGTGAGCAGAAATTGTGCCACTGCACTACAGCTTAGCAACAGAGCGGGAGTCTGTCTCAAAAAAAAAAAAAAAAAAAAAAAAAAAAGTTAAGCAAAAGGGGATATGTCAAAAGATCGCAGGGATCTCCAGATGCTAATGCTTTCAGCCATGTTCTTCAAGGCAGGAGCCAGGTGACTCCAGATCCCAACAGGAGGAACCACTTGCTCCCCAGTGCCACCTCCACAGAAAGGATTCCTGTCCATGGTCCTTGGTGTGTCTCTCAGCTCAAGATTCAAAATCCCAGTGGAGTGGCAGTTTGTTTGGCCGAGCTATGGCCACATGCCCTCTGCCCTTGGATCGACATACCTGGAGGAATACCTGGCCCAATGCCTCTCTAGGATCACCCACTGCCCCACCGAGACTGCTCACAAGACAGTTTTCCCCAGCAGGGAGGTTGAAGCCTGAGTGACCAGAAACAAGTATCCACTACACATTGTAACGAACTGAGCACATTTGACTGCTAGGGAGAAGTACCCATTGAGAAGGAGTGGACAGGAGATACAGGAGCCAGAATTGCTACTGGCAATAAGGTCCTCAATGGGCTGAGATTCAGGAGTTCAATAGGAGGAAAGAGGTGACTTCTTTATGTAATAGCAGAGCAAGAAGAAATGATGGGGTAGTACCGAGGTACCGTAGTCTCTCTCCTCTTGGGAAAGAAAGTTGCTGGCAACCTTAAATCTACATCCTCACATCTCTGGATCTAAACAACCCACAAATCAAGTCTTACTGCCCCTACTTGACAATCCTGGACCAGAGAGAGAGCTCTTCAATTGACCAGCCTGTGTCACTGCTCTTCCCAAAATGGTGGGGCCCTGCAGTAGGGCTGACAGTGGGTCACAGGACTAGTGAAGAGTGGTTCCCCAAAGGAAAGGGCAAGACACTGTTGCCAGACTAAGGGAACCTGATACTGAGCTGTCCCAAAGCACAAATTACCTCTGGGGACAGCCTCTGTGCAAGCTTTGAGGAAATGCTAAGTTGGGATGTATCAATGCCTAAGGAAGAGAGAGCTTTGATTCAGTTAAACAGCATCTGCTTTTCTAGCAAAATATCTCTAGGGTACAAGAGACCCCTCTAGCCAAAAGAGCCATAAATGAAAAGGCTGTCTTTTTGTCTGACAAAAAGACACTGACTCCCTGGGACTTAGCATATAATAGATGTTTGCTGGCTGGCTGGCTGGCTGGATGAATGAATGAATGAATGGAAGGCAGTTGATTCAGAAATGCCTATTACTACCTCAATTTAGTTCCACAGACATTTTCCTGAGTCCCTAATAATAATTATCAGCTGCAAGCTGACAATATAGGCTAAATCAGAGGTGCCTTGGCCCCAAAGCCTACATGATGGGGGATTCAGGGGACCTGAGACAGATGCCCAAAGGACAATTAGGTCACAAGGATTGAAGGGAATAGAAGGGGCTGGAGTGCTCAGAGGAGAGGCATTGTAGTAGACATCTGTTGCTTTTTCAGCTCCCCACAATCCAGCCCCCATTTCATTTGGGGGATCATCCCGAGACAGAGACTGCTAATTGTCCCCCAATACTTATTGTCCCCTTCTATAGTAATAGAATTCCTCTAACTGAGTACATAACTGCCCAGAATAATGACCACATTTCCCAGGCATCGTGCACCCAACATGCTGTAGATTAAGTTCTCAGCAGTGAGATGTTAGCAGAAGTAATTTTTGCAATTTCTCGGTCATGCACTTCAGAAGAAATGTGCCTCGCCCCTTTCCCTCTCCCCTGGTAGGAATGAAGTCATGGTGTGAAGCCAGTTTATATCAATCAGATGAAGCTAAAACCCTAAGGATGTCAGAGTGACAAAAGAGAAGGAGCCTGTGTCCCAACACACTGTGGTTGCCTATCAGCCCTGGACTAGCTCTAACTAGGTTTTCCATGAAAGAGAAATTAACCTCCAGTCTATTTCAGTCACTATTTGGGGTGAGTGCTCTCTTGCAGAAGGAAAGCCTGTATACTAATTATTAGTGCTGTATACTAATTATTAGTAAAGGCTGTATACTAATTATTACCAAGAAGGGCTGTGTTGCTGGTAACAAAACTGAAAACATATTTTAAATGCTATACATAAATATGATGATCTGGAAACCCTGTTTATGCCATGCCATAGCAGTCGATCAACTGATTCCTGCAATACCTTGCAAAGTCAGCTCTTGCTCTAAAGGAAACAGTTGGAAATTTCAGAATGCAGGTGTTTGCTGGATGCTTCTTGCCACTCTCAACAGAGTCCTACATGACCCAGAAGAACGTGGACAGAGCTAGCCCGAGGAAGGCAGATACTGAAGAGAATACAGCAGTGCTGAAAGAAGCTCCCTTTGCCTATGGGCTATAACCTCAGTTTAAAAAGTTTTCAGACCTAAAAAAAAAAACTATTGCTTGTTAAAAACTCCATATTTGATAGCTTGATTCTTATATCTTGAAAGATTTTTAAAGTAGTGTAAATATAACTGATGTTATGAAATTCTGTTTCATGTTCTGTAGAGCAGTTATATATCATAATGTAGGCAGAAATCAGCCATCATATCATATCATATCATATCATATCATATCATATCATAATGTAGGCAGAAATCCGCCATCATATAATTGTGAGCAGAAATCAGCCATCATATAATTGTGAGCAGAAAAATACCTAATTGGATTCTGTAAATGGGTATATTTTGAATTATGCTGTACAGTGCTTGCCCAAAAAAATACTGTGCCTGAAAATGGCATCAATTTATTCATAAAAAATATGATTTAAGTGATTTTCTAACAACATTTCAAAGGCGCCTTTATGGTTCTCAAAGTGTTGCCATATAATAATATTCCTTTAGAATAAAATTATATTTATTTAAAAAAATAAAGAGAAAAATCTATTGCTTCTGTACCACAAACTGAGGCAGATATAGAATAATTTTCTGAAGAAGCAGGATTAGCAGGAGACAAGACTATGGACCCTAGTCTTTCTCAAACACTTGATTACGTTTCTCAACCTGACAATGACAGCCGCTCGGCCACAAAGACCAGATCAAGGAAGCTGCCTTCCAGTCCAAGTTGAGTGTTTTCGCTGGTCTCAGGTTGAGAGGGAGGTGAATAGATATAACATACAGGCTGATAAATAAAAGGCCACCATTTTTAGGCTTAAATACTGCTAATCTAAAGGAGGTTGAGCATCACTAAACCAAAAACCCAGAAATCCAAAATGCTCTAAAATCCAAAACTTCTTGAGCACACATGATGCTCATTGGAGCATTTCAGATTTTGGATTTTCAGATTAGGGATGTTCAGCCAGGATAATGCAAATATTCCAAAATCTGAAATATGAAACACTCTGGCCCCGAGCATTTCAGATAAGGGATACCCAACCTGTACTTGCCCCAGAGGATAACTAGCCACAAATAGGCAGAAAGCCAATTGAGATTTTAAGGGGCATGTGTTACCAAAGAACCATGAGTCGGGCTGGTACAAGTCTGCATTTTTGACTCCTTAAATCAACCGACCCCTACCCACCAAACCTGCACCTGCAAAAAGTGGGCTGCAAAAGCTATGCAGCCCAGGCCCAGTGTGGTGGCATGTGCCTGTAGTCCCTGCTGCTCTGAAGGCTGAAGTGGGAGGATTTCCTGAGCCCCAGGCACACGAGTCCAGCCTGGGCAGCACAGCAAGACCTTCTCTCTAAAAAAAAATGTTTAAGCTGTATAGCCCTAAGAGGGATACATCGTTTGATGCCCTTTAGTTGTGCCATGGAAGGCAGTGGACAAAGAGGGGACCACCAAGGTCCAAAGATGTCTATCCCAGGGAATACTCCTGGAGAGAGGCGCTGTCATCCAAGGACTCTGCTCCACTCCCTGGGAACCTTCACAATTTCTGCCCACCAGGATTTGGTGGGTGTGTTTTTCCCTCTTCTGGATGAGGTTTCCCACCATGTTTATCTTATTTTTACTGGCTGTTGCATATTGGGTGTAAGGAGGCAGGCAATGTATGTAAGGGTTCCAGGGCAATACACCATAAAGAACTGCATCCAGAAGCCTGGTGTGGTGGCTCACACCTGTAAACCCAGCACTTCGGGAGGCCAAGATGGGAGGATTGCTTGAGCCCGGGAGTTCGAGACCAGCCTGGGCAACATAGTGAGAACTTGTCTAAAAAAACAAAAATAAAACAAAAACCACATCAGATCTGATGGTGCAGGCTGTCCCTCCACAGGTCCCAGGCTTGGAGCTGGACATAGGCACTGGATGCAACTTTAGGGTTGTCTCCCCTGGGGAGGGGACACATGGAAATTTGACTGGCCAATGGGACAGGCTGGGGCTGAGATTGCTAATTGCCCCCGATCACACTCATCTCCTATGTTTAAAGAATTCTTGTTTTTTTATCTGGAGATACGGAAATCCAGAAAAAAATACTGTATTTCCTCACTTCCTAGAAGCTATATTTGGCCAAGTAACTGACCAGCAGCATTGAAGTAGGGAGAGGTGACACTTTTAACCAGAGGGGCGAGCCTTCCTCTTCCGCCTTTTCCGTTTCCACTGGCTAGGCAGTGGAGGTGATGGTGAAACATCTCACATCACAATACCTAGGGATAGAGAAGCAACAAGATGGGGAAAAAAAAACCTGGGCTCCCAGGCTGCTTACCTGCAGGCAGGTGAGGGAGAAAGAAACTTCTATCTTGCTTAAGCCAATCTTATTTGAAGTCTCTCTTCCAGCAGTTCAACATATATTCCACAAATATATTACTCACACTCTACCTCCTCTACGCTCATGTGGGTCTTAGAAGAGGGGTGTATGCTAGGCCTCAGCCAATCACTGTATCAGTTTCCTGGCCAGAGATTGTTCAGGATAAGTGTGTACCCCACTTAGATCCAATGATAAATACTTTATCTGGGAATCTGGAGAAAGAAACTCACTCTATTCCCCAAGGGAATGTGGCGATGAAGCCACCATCTTACATGAAGCCGGATACTGGAGCCGCCCAGAGAAGGACAAAGTGAGGATGTGCAGAAGCAAGTTCCCGAGAACATCCCGGGAGCCTTGACCTCAGTGAGGACTAAGGCTAGTCTCATCCCTTGACATCTCAATTAAGGAAGACAATACATTTCCTTTTTTAAAAACCAATTTGCATTATATTTCCATCCTTTGCTACCAAAAGTGTCCTTAGTGATACGCTGGTCACCGTGGGAGGGTTACAGAGGCAACATGGAAGGGGGATGTCTGCTTTGGTCTCAGACCACCTGCAACTTGTTTGGGGGAAAAAATGGGTTTGTTATAAGGATGCATGAGGATTTGAACCAGAATTGAAAAGTCCTCAGGAATAGGCGAGACAACTTCAGAAATAGCCATTGCTCCCTCTCTTCATGGAGCTTCCCAGACCGGTTTCCTCCTGACTGTGCTCTGCCAGCTCTTTCCACCAACTGGCGCCCTCTCCTGATGCTGAATTTCTGCTGCTTTGAAACTGAGTTGCCACCATGCCAGCTCCTCCTAGTGGCACGTCTTCACATATCCTTCATGCTTCTTCCCTTGCAGCTGGCTGTCTTGCTCCTGCCCTGTTTCTCAACTTCCAATTTAAAAAAGAGAAATTGGATAGACATAGATCATCTTTAATGCCAGAGGAAAACTCACAAATCCTGACCAGCCTGATTCAGAGCCTGAGTCAGGTGTTTGCTTGCTCTTGTCCAACTGTTACATGATCTAAAATAGGGCCACCTGCTGGCTGTCTCCTCCTCTAGGGCTGCGGGCATGGCAGGTACCACCACTGATGTGTCTTGTATGCCTACACAGAATTATTGTATTAGGCAATACTCTTCTGACTTCAAGAGGCAGAAACCCAACTCAAATTGGCTTAAGCACCAAAGGGACTTTTCACTGTTTCTTGTAAGTCAACAGTCCAGGGTAACCGGGCTTGGCCAGAGCCCCTAGCTTAAATGATGTCATCAGAACTGGCACCTCTCTCTTTTAGCCAGGCTCTCCCTACATAGTGGGTCTTGGGAACTCCTGGATTATGTTTATGTCCTCACAGCTCTAAGTCCATGGACAAGAGTTTAAGGAACAAGGACAGTGCCAAGTTAACTGTACTAGCCATTACTGTTTTGTTTTGTTTTGTTTTGTTTTTGAGACTGAGGCTCTCTCTGTTGCCCAGGCTGGAGTGCAGTGGCGCAATCTCGGCTCACTGCAACCTCTGCCTCCCAGGTTCAAGTGATTCTCCTGCCTCAGCCTCCTGAGTAGCTGGGATTACAGGCCCCCACCATCACGCCTGGCTGATTTTTGTATTTTTAGTAGAGACAGGGTTTCACCATGTTGGCCAGGCTGGTCTCAAACTCTTGACCTCAAAAGATCTGCCCACCTCGGCCTCCCAAACTGCTGGGATTACAGGTGTGAGCCCGGCTGCCATTACTGTTATTATGGCTCCCAAAAGTTGCCCACAAATTCCAGGTTCAAGTCATAGTAAACTAAGGTAGGCCACTGCCCAGCTCCTAACCACTCACTGAGGCCTGCAGCATGTGATGCTCTGACTGGCCAGGTCTGGATCAAATCTAGCTCTGGAGTTAAAAGAGAAATGGGACCACTGAATTTTGTCACCAGAAGCAGCAAGAATAGATGCTGAGCAGGCAAAAACAACAAATGTCCTCTGCAATCTGCAGCATTGGTTGTTGAATGTTACACATACCCCTCTTGACATAAACACAGCTGTTAAAATATTCTTTCTCAAGATAAGGCAGTTATACCATATACCACCAAAACCCTACTCACTCCCACTGCAACAGAAGACAGCGCAGAACTCAGGTTCTCAACCAGTTGCTGCATTCAGGTTCAGAACCCCTGGAGGATGTGCTGTCCTCTCCGAACTGTGGTAAGTGAAGCTCTGAGGACATAGATAGCAGGACCCAACGGGCCTCTTCCATGTGCCTCCACCGGGGTGAGTAAATTCCAATCAGTCCCCAATGAGTCTGGCTTATTTCACTCAAGATTCAAGTTTCAGAATGAAAGCATCTGACTGGCCCAGTTTGCATCATGCACCCACCCACTGACCAGGGGAGTGCAGAGCACAGTGCATCTGTTGGAGGCGGGAACATGGTTTCTGTTACTATGAGCGAGAAGTAAGGATGCTGGGCTAACGTGGGAAATCCTCGCTGAGTGGATTTCTCTGCCTCGATAATGACATGGACACTGCTGATGAGCTAGCTGGTGGGTGTGGCTGGGTCACCAGGCTCATATGTGGCAGCCAGGCAGCTCCAGATAGGAGGGGGTCCCCAATGTCTGGGAGCTGTGGACTCCCAATTCTTGTCTTGAGGCCCACTGGCACAGTCCTCACTTTGGAGAAATTGGGGCACTGTTTATGCCAGTTCAGGCTTAGGCCCTGGCTCCTCCCTGGTCTGATCATGACCTTGCTTGAGGACTATGTGTGGACACTGCTGATTGCCGACCTGTGTCAGGATAGTCTGGGTTATGTTGCAATAGCGACCTCACAAAAATAGCAGTGGATTAACTAAACACAAGTCTATTTCCCACCCTTGCTCTATGCCTATCACAGGTTTGGCAAGAGGGCTCTGTTCATCGTGGAGGACTCTTGGCATTTGCTTTTACAGTCATCACATCAATGGAAAAGAACTTGGGGAACAATGTACCAACTGTCTTTTTTTAAACTTTTATTTCAGAATCAGAGGGTACATGTGCAGGTTGTTACAAAAGTATATTTTGAGGCTGAGGTTTGGAGGAGAAATGAATCCATCACTCAAGAGGAGCATAGTACACAATAGGCAGTTTTTAATCGACTCTTGACCCCCCTCCCTCCCTCTCTTCTCTTGTATTCCCCAGTGTCTGTTGTTCCCATTTTTATGACCATGTGTACCCAATGTTTAGCTCTCATTTAACAAGTGAGAACATGCAGTATATAGTTTTCTGTTCCTATGTTAAGTCACTTAGGATAATGGTTTCTAGCTGCATCCATATTGCTGCAAAGGACAGGTCTTCCTTCTTTTTGTGGCTGTGTAGTAGTCCATGATGTATATGCACAACATTCTTTCTATCCAACCCACTATTGATGGGCACCTGGGTTGATTCCATGTCTTTGCTACCATGAATAGCGCAGTGATGAACATATGGGTGCATGTGTCTTTTTATGCACCAACTTTTAAAGCTTCCACTAGAAAGTGATACATCTCACTTCTGCTCCCATTTCATTGATCAAAGTAAGTTACACATCCTTAACTAACCCCAAGGGTTGTACCATCTGCCTAGAAGAAAGAAAACCAAATATAGTGGCCAAATACCCACTTCACTAATGACAACCACTACCCAATTTCTCTCTCCTCTTCTTCCAAAACAGAGCACCAGTTTTGACTGGGATGACAATTGTCTAGCTAAATATATTTACTTTTCCTTGTAACTTCCTTGTATCTGGGGTTAGTTACACGTGACCTTGTTCTAACCAATGAGATGTAAGAGGGAATCACTAGGTAGGGGTTTCTTGGAAACCTAGATGTGATGCCTTGAGACGCAGCAGCCATACTGTGAACTTAAGGACAGAAACCACACACTCCAGAAGGTGAAGGAGGATGATGAGGGAGCCTGGGATCTTGATGAAACCCTTAAGCATCTGTGCCACCCTGGGCTGCTGATCTCTGGGGTGCTGGCTACATAACAACAATAAACCCCTATCTGATCCACTGATGGTCAGGTGTTCTGGTATTTCATCCAAACACGTTCCTTACTATTTACCTGCTCTGTATTTGAGGTTTCTCAGTCTTCGGTCTTTCATGTACAGATGATTTATGGTGCAATGGGAAGAACTTTGAATCATTCGACACTGGATTCAAATCTGGGGTTGACCGATTTCTAGTTGTGTGACCTTGGGCGAGTTGCCTAACCTCTTCCAGCTTTAGTTTTCTCATCTGTAAAATTGGAATTGAAATCCCGTGGCATTGACAGCCATTTCTTATGTCCTCTTCCTTCAACCAGTCTCCCATTATAGGACTGAAAAGGTCAGATACACACTTTCTTGGTCTCCTTGAAACCAGCATGGCTGTGTGTGGGTCTGGCCAGTGAGCAACAAGGTATGGAGGGTCAGTGTGCTGGAGGCTTTCTGATAAGATGAGGGATGTGAGTGAGGAAATAAACACTTTCCCTATCAGATTCCTTTCCTTCTTTTCCTGCCTTTGAACTTGGTGTTAGAAGACACCAAGCCATCTCGAAACTTGAAGGTGGCAGAGCAGGTGACACATCCAAGGAATCTGGATCTTAGATGATGATGTTGAGCTGCCAAGTCAAATCTGAGGCTACCCAACCACAAATGTCTTGCTAAGTAACACCATTTCTCCCCATTCCAAGGAAGGCCTTTTTTTTTCACATTCTGACACCACTGTCACTTCTCATATCTGATTTGATAGTAAAGAATGGCTTCATGGTTTGGCAGCAAGTTTTGCTTATACAAAGAAAGTGGTGCAAAACAGTGGTGCATTTCACAATCAATGACATCTTAGAGCTAATGAAATACGAAAGCAAATCTTCTTATGGTGTAAGCCCTATTTAGGCTTATTTAGTCAGATTTAGTCAGATTTACTGTAAATTGTAACCAAAAGATTTCCTAAGTGATAAAAGTACCTGCCATAGGCCAGGCATGGTGGCTTATGCCTGTAATCCCAGCACTTGGGAGGCCGAGGCAGGCAGATCACCTGAGGTCAGGAGTTCAAGATCAGCCTGGCCAACATGGTAAAACCACATCTCTACTAAAAATACAAAAATTAGCCAGGCATGGTGGTGGGCACCTGTAATCGCAGCTACTCAGGAGGCTGAGGCAAGAAAATCTCTTGAACCTGGGAGGCAGAGGTTGCAGTGAGCTGAGATCGTGCCATTGCACTCCAGCCCGGGCAACAAGAGCGAAACTCCATCTAACAACAACAACAACAACAAAAAAAACCTGCCATAGATGGTGGTTGTAAAGAATAAATAATTTTTTAAAAAGAATGAATGAATAAAACAATGTAAGTAAAGTATTTGGTGTAGATTATTTATTTGGTCAGCATTTCAAAATCCTTATATAAATTATTTTGTTCTACTATGTCCAAATGTAAACACACATGTGTGTGTGCAAACCCAAGAAAGGTGTATGTCCCTAAAATAAGGCCAGGTACAAATTTGGGCCACAGACGGCCCAAAGCAGGTGGGCAATCTTGTATCATTGAAGACTTGTGATTGCAAATGGCAGATACCTACTCAAGCTGGCATTAAGTACACATCGGAATTTGTGGGCTCACCTAAGTGAAAAACCAGGTGGTGTTCTAGCTTCATGCCTTGTCTCATTCACCCATCACCAGCATCCAGTATCTCTCTCCCTCTCTTTCTCTGGGTACGACCTATTCAGCTGACCCTGTCCTCAGACCAGCTTTTTTCTCATCATTTGAGATTCTCTCATTAAATTCAAGACCCTCGGGAAGAACCCTTGCCTCTGTCCAGCATTGTCAGAAAAATCAGCCTTGCAGCTCATTGGCTCTGTGTTTCCCTGAACCAATCTCTGCAGCCAGGAGGAGGGACCTGTGGAGGAATCAAGCCCAGCTGGAAGAAGAAGAGGGTGGAGTCAACCACACCCAAGAGGAGGGAAGGGCTTTCCCAGAGGGCACTTTTGACTGGGGCACCACTGCAACAAAAGAAGGATAAAGTATGCTGTGTGAAAACCTCAGATGTCCCCCACAAGCCTTCTCTCTTTCCCCTAAACCCACTACCCCTTAGCACTTTATTCCTCCCACAGCAGCAGAGGCTGGTCCAGAGAAGACCAAGGCCAGCCAGTAAGGAAAAGTGACAAGATCATCCACCTTCAGCCACAACTTTGAGGCACGTGGAGAGGGGACAAGGGGTGTGGCCCTGCCAGCTCACAGCTCTAGTCTCACCAAAGGAATCAAAAGAGAGTGACAGTGTTTTGCTCAGCTTTTGCTGCTTACAGAGTCTCTATGGCATCATCCAGAAGCATTTATTTTTCCCTTCCATGTCTGTGGGTTGGCTGGGGTCTGCTGGCTCAGGCTGAACTCCTTGATCTCAGGCTCCAGGTGGGGTTTGGACCTGCACCACAGAGCACTCATTGGCCTGGAGCCAGCTCTCCCTGGGCCATGCTCATCTCACCGCCTTGGCTAAAGCACAGGAGAGCAAGGCCAGCCGCACGGTGCAGTTCCAGCCTCTGCCGCATCATCTCTGCCAACTTTCCAGTGGCCCAAGCAGGTCATGTGGCCATGCTCAAAGTCAAATCATGGGGAAGCATGTGTCCCACTGATATGGTTTGGAAGTTTTTTCCCCTCCAAATCTCATGTTGAAATGTGGCTTCCAATGTTGCAGGTGGGGCCTGGTGGGAGGTATTTGGATCATGGGAGCAGATCCCTCATGAATGGCTTGGTGCCTCCTTTTAGTAATGAGTGAGTTATTGCTCTGAGTTCAGGCAAGATCTGGTAGTTTAAAAAAGTGGGCATCCCTTTTTCTTGTTCCCTTTCTTGCCACTTGACACACTTGCTCCCCTTCCACCTTCTGCCATGAGTAGAAGCTTCCTGAGGCCTCACCAGAAGCAGATGCTGGCACCATGCTTCCTTTACAGCCTGCAGAACTGTAAGCCAATTAAACCTCTTTTCTTTATAAATTACCCAGTCTCAGGAATTCCTTTATAAGCAATATAAACAGTCTAATGCACCCACCATGTTGCAAGGCTGTGGGAGTACAATACCGGTACAGGGAAGAGAGAACTTGAGACCAATCATTTAATTGACCACAGAAGGTAACCAAAGAACAGCCTTCCCACAGGCTCAGCACTTTTAACTGATTTTTTTATGGAAGTGAAACCTCAGCCTTGAGCACTAAAGCCCAGTAAAATGGTCTCGTTCAAGATCTTGGGATCTATTTGAGGGAACAAAGGAGGACATGTGAGAGCCCCGAGCTCCCTATGGAGGCCACACTTGGAAGGAGCAGGTATTCAGCAGAGATCATTCCCTTCTAGCCACTGTCCCCGCAGTCCCAAGACAGTCATCAGAAAGGCCACCTAGGTAATAATCAAATCTGCAAACTTGAGTTAAGTCTCCCCATCTCCCATGGTGAGGGCCAGCCACAGACAGCCTCTGCCCTTGGAGAGGGTGCCATGGTCAGCCTCCTCTCTCCTCTCTCACTGCCCGTAGCAGACTTCTGAGGTAAGAGCATGAGCAGAGGAAAGGAAGGGGATTTGGAAAGTTCTGTCTTGATGGTCTCGTAAGATGCCTTACCTCTCCAGATCTGGAAGAGGTTTCATGCTCAAATGGGCCCTTTGAAAGGAACCCTCGATCCTTCACCCCTGACACCCACTCCAGAACCAGAGTGCCCTTGACCTGAGCAAATGAATCAGAAGCCACTTGCTCCCTCCTCTACCCCTAGAAAGTTCACCTCCTACTTCCTTCCACTGTGCTACATATGCCCTCTGGGTAGGGCCTGTGGTCAGGACTGAGATGATCACACACCGGCTCTTTCATTCACATGGCCAATGTCTGGTTGTGGGAAATATGTACACATTCCACATCCTGACAAGTCCCCAGGCACATGTCAGTGACAATTCCCCATCACACTCTGAGCCACACTCGCACTACCAGTGGCGTGTCATGTGCCCAAGATCCACAAACCTTTGGCTGGCATCTGAGGGAGCCCGGCTGCTTCCCAACACAGCAGCTGCCTACTCTCTTCATCAGAACCAAGAAGCCACAATTGCCTGTGCACCTCCACCAGCAGTCCGTCTGCCTCCCAAACTCCAGGGGACAGAAAGCAAGCTCTCAGAGCAGAGTTGAATCCCCCACTCTCTGGGCTGGAGGGCAGGCTGTCCTCTGCTCCACCTGCCCCCTCTCTACCTCAGCACAGCCCCCTCCCCGAGCACACCCCCCTCCCCAGCCCTGGCCAGCCGTAGGAGGTGGGAGTCCACATCACAGCCCCAGCCCTCAAGAAAGGAATCTGGCAAATCCCCTCCCTCCCTCACTCTCTCAGCCCTTCCTCTCACTGGGGGACAGTTGTCCAGCAGGTTCTCAGCCACCTTTGGAAATCTGCGTCTTAGTCTGTCACCACTCTTTGGAGTTTGATAGCTAATTTCTTCATGTCTTAACCGACACATCAATTTAGCATATTAATACATCAAAAAACAAAGTCTTTCTGCCCTCTTATGGCTCATTGGATGCATGCCTGGTGACTGAGCACATTGCTGTTCCTGAAAAAAAAAATGTGGGTCAGTTGTTAGCACAGAAGCTGGAGGAGGGGCAGGAGTGAGCCATGGAGGCTGAGCAGTAAATTAATTGTTGTTTGCCACAAATGGCCCTTGCTGAAAAGATCCCATCCCTAAGGGGGGTCAAAAAACTTTAGGACAGCTGAGTGCCCAGAGGTGACGATTGAGGAAGGACAAGCCTTGCCTCAGTTCCTGACTTCTGCTCCATGCTGAGGGGCAGCCTTGGTGGTCAAGAGACTGAAGCTGGAACAGCTGATGCCAACGCCGGCTCAGCTCCTTGCTAACACAGTGGCCTTGGCGGGCTCACTCCCCTCTGCCGCCCTCTCTCTCCACCCCTCCAGGGGCAGGGGCTGCATGCAGCAGGATGCAGGGGCTGCCAGGACAACATAGGTCCCCACCTCAGCACCTGTGCTGGCTCCATCCTCTCTGGCTCCTCCACGTGGGGCTTTCCATGGCCCCAGACTTAGCTCCTTCTGCTCAACAACTCCTGCCAGAAAGGAGGTGTCTCTTCCCCAGTACATCCCATAAAATTCCAGTGTTGATCCTGATTAGCCTCTCACGGGGGCAGGGGGTGGCGTCACAGGGACATCCCTGAACCTATCACTGCAGCCAGAAATGAACTAGGCTGAGCAGCCAGGCCTGGGTCATGGACAAAGCGCTAGAATAGGGGTGAGTAGGGGAGTGCCAGGTACTGTGTGGACAGGGAAGGGGAAGGAAGTTGTTCCCTCCAGAGGGAAGGCAGAGTTCTGGTGCTGGTTGAGAGGAGGCAGGGGAGCAGGCCTGCCAGGCAGGGGAGCAGCAGGGCAGGAAGCAGAAACCACGCCCAGGGGCAGGAGGGAGCCACAGGCCCAAGCCCACCCTGCCAGTCGGAGTGACTGTCTGCAGGAGGAGACACAATTTGGAGCCAGCATGTTTCAGTGGGGGACGAGAAGTTCTGATCCAACAAGGAAAGATACTCCCTCCAAGCTCCTCAAAAGAAGGGGCTGGAGGAAATTAAGTCTGAGGCCGCCATAGCAGAACCAAAGAGCAGACAGGATGCTGGCAGGGGAACCCTCCCCCTCCTCACAAAGAAGGACCTGGGCTGACCTGGTGCAATTTGCATGAATTGAGAAACACAGTCTTCCACATGCTTCTCAGCGTGGCCTTTATCCTGCTATGGCCTCTGTGTTCCTCAGTGATGAGAGATGACACTTCCTTAGACAGGGATGATTCTTAAGGTTAATTGAAAGTGGCCTTTCTCGTAATCATCTGCTGCAATGAATTATTAATCACCTGCAGGCATTTGCAGGTCTTTAAACTCTTGGACTTCCTGCAGCCCTCCTTGGAAGTGCTTTTGCCATGGAAATACAACTTCCGCTTGGCCATGAAAGACAGAACCCATGTCTGCTGCTGTTTCCAGGCTTCCCAGCTCCACAGACACGGGGAAGAACAAGGTCTGAAAACAGGAAGCAGAGCCAGAGCTGCTGCCAGACCCTGGATGCCTTTCTGTTCTGGGGAGCTGGCTCCAGGCCAGCCAGGTCTCAGAGCCCCCGGGCAGTGGATGGAGGGGAGGCTGCCCAAAGTGCCTGTGGCTCTTTGCCTGATTCACGGTCAGCGCCACAGGAGAGGGTCTCCTGGGTCCTTGCCCTACAGCTGCTCACTGGTGAAGAAGGAACGAGGGAGCCAGGTGCCAGGCCTAGATCCACCACTTAGTGGGTGGGCCAGGAAACCTCTTTGATTCAGTTTCCTCATCTGAGGAGGAGGTCATGACCCTGCAGGGCAGACATGAGGCAGGGCTCCATGGGATCGTGTACATCAGGCCTGCATCTCAATGCTCAGAACATCAGGAGCAGCAAGAAGGATGAGCTCCCTCCTGCCACCTGCTTTTATCTTCCCGTGGAGGAAGATTGACTCAAAACTCAGTGGGCTGGCTGGCAGTGTAAGGATTTTGCAGATAGAGCTGACAACGTGATTTTGCAGACCCCAGAAGCTGGTCTGCAGGACCAGGGCAGGGAGCTCCTGTTGGGCCCTAAATTGTGAGCCCAGGATGTGTATGATGCATGGACAATGTGGGCAGAAGCTGGGGCAGCTCATCCCAATGGCAAGAGCCCTTCATCTGCCATTCAGCACAGCCTCAGCCCTGGAGGTGGATAGTGGCGATGCCAAGCTGAATAAGACACGGCCCCCTGCCTTCATGGAGGCCCTCGGCTGCCAGGAAGAGTGAGGCAGCAGTCTCAGGCACAGAGTCCCATATTCGGCATGGTAGCTGCAAGGACCATGAGGACGAGGGGATGATGAAGGGTTTCACAGAAGGCAAGATGCTGGGGGTTCATCTTGAAACATGAGCAGTGGAGAAGGAGGGTGGGAGGGGCATTGAGTATTTCAGACAGGGAGAGAGCAGCATGGTGGGAGAGCCCAGTGCATACGCAGAGCCGTGGAAGTAGCTGCATCAGTCTGGGCACAAGCACTGCAGAGAGATGGGTGGTGGGGGGGATGAGAATGGGAGGGGAGCCTGGAAGACAACAGCTGGGAAGGGGAGTGGGTGCAGCATGGAATCTGAAGAGCTGAGAGGAGGCCCATGCAGAGCTCCAGATGAGAGGTGATGGAGGGCTGGGCAAGGTTTTTTGCCATGATAGAGATGGACAGAGGAGGAACAGCTGTCAGGACTTGGTGACACAGAGAAAGATGGGGACTTTGGAAAAGCACAGCATGGGGGTCGAGAGATGGCAGCTCTGGGCCTGGCACTCAGGAAGTGCCAGAAGGGATTCCCTTTTCAAAAAACATCCCACTACCCAACTCCACCCCCAGAACAGCCTGAGTACAGCTCGGGCGCAATCATGGAGGCAGCTGGTGTGGATGCCATGCCCCACTGGGGTGGTCAGGTGGGGGTGCATGGCAGCTGGGGGAAGGGGTCAAGATAGCTGACGGGTTCCATGTAGGGGTCCCCTGAGCCTTGCTAGCTGCCTGAGTCCAGTGTTGAGGCACACTGAACTCTAGACAGAGGAAGGGGAAATGTAAGCCACCCCTCCCAGGGTACTGCATGGACAACATGGTCCACACAATGGTCCTAGAGATATCAAGTCCTCATCCCCAACCCCGTGACTACATAGCAAAAGGGGCTTTGCAGGTGTGATTAAGTTAATGATCTTGAGATGGGGGTGGTGGTTATCCTGGATTATCTGATGAGCCTCTTATAGAGAAACGCCACACTCTGAGATGAATTCAGAAGTCCTTTATTAGCCGGCAACCGAGAGATGGCTAGTGCTCAAAATTCTCTCGGCCCTGAAGAAAGGGCTAGATTTTCTTTTATACTTTGGTTTAGAAAGGGGAGGAGGAGCCTAGCTGAAGCACTCTTACAGAAGCAAAACAGGCAAAAAGTTAAAAGACAAATGGTTACAGGAAAACAAACAGTTCCAGGTGCAGGGGTTTTAAATCCATCACAAGGCGATAGATGCGGGGGCTTTGGGTACCATCAACCGGACACAAATGTGGGGGCTTAGGGTACTATCAACTGGGCAAATTCCTGGGAACTGCGGATATAGCTTGCCACAGTATCTTATCCATTAATTGCATTCTTTGATGTGCTGGGAGTCAGCTTGCACAAGTTAAGTCCTTGAGGAAGGGGGGTGGGTAAGGGGCTGCAAGTGAAGGAGCCAAAATGGAGTGTGTCTGGCTCTCTCAGCTAAGGGACAGTCAATTCAGGTTAAAACAAGGTAGGGTATCACACTTACAAGAGGGAGGCAGAAAGAGTTGATGTGAAATGACCTGGAGTGGGAGAGGTTAGAAAAGGCTGTGCTGCCGGCTTTGAAGACAAAGGAAAGGGCCACTAGCTAGCAGCCTCTAGGAGCTGGAAACGCTGGGAAACAGCTCCCTTGCCTCCAGAAGGCACAGGCCCTGCCAACCCAGTTTAGATTCCCGACCCCCCGAACTGTGAGATAACATGCGTGTGGCTTAAACTACTCAATCTGTGGTACTTTGTTGCAGGGGCAACAACAAACATACAGACATCTAACTCAGACCCGAGGCCTTGGGTGGGACCCAGGCCCCATTTCCTGAGACACCTGCTCCCACAGCGACCTGGGGTAAGCAGAAGTGGGGGAGGATTCTCCAGACACCCCAGACTGTCTCCAAGTAGAGCGGAGATCTCGCCAGTTAAGCGCACAGCTGAGGACAGTTACTGGGTGAAGTGGCCTGGGTCTCCGCCTTCTCATGCCCCCACCGCCCAGACCCTAGAAGGGGAGTGGCTGCGGCCTCTGCACCCTGGCCCTGAGGGCTCCCAGACCCGGCCCAGTGGGGCACCCCAGTTCACCACCCTCCTCGCCTTAGGTGAGCCAAAGCCCAGGCAGGGTGGAGCCTCACGCACACTGACTGGCCCCTAGGACAGGCACAGGTGACGCGGGGGTGTGGGACCCAGGCTATGACTCTGGACATAACCTTCAAGGCTGTAAAACGAGAAGGTCCATCCCCCCAAAACACGCACTCCCCCACAACCACCCCCTCCCCCCCCCACACACACACTCCCCTGCACCACAGATACACACATTCCTTTCGCTCCCCACTCAGACGCCTCGAGGCCTCGGCGGGGGAACCATAGGGGCGCGACCAGGGCGCGCCGAGGGGTGACCAGAGAGGACACGCAGCGACCTTACTCCCGCCTTTCCCGCAAGGCGCGTTCGCCAGCCTGGACTAGTGGGCACGGGCCCTGCGTTCTAATAATCACCATAATAATAGGCGCTGGGTGTACAGAGGGGACCCAGGCGACGCTGGCCTCCATCCGATAACCACCGTAACAGGGGCTGGGCCGCGCCGCTCCTCCGCTCTAAGTGTTCTTTACATGCTTCTTAAGTTACCGGCAGGCCAGCCGCCCTTACGAGAGCCCCTCACGGACATTAACCCAATTGAGAAGACTGAACCCAGCATACGAACGTTAAGTTGTCCCAAATCGCAGGGCTGGCGAGTGAGGAGCCTGAATTGGAACCCAGGAGCTTCTGGAACCCGCTCCAGAATTGCGCTCTCGACCGGTTTGTCCGCTGAGAGCGAACGGGTGCGCGAGCGCCGCATCCCTGCCCAAGGCCATCAGGCAGGCAGCGCTGGGGCCCGGGACCCGCGCGGAGACTCCACCCCGGGATCCGGGAAGGCTCCCCCGAGCCGGGGTCGGAGCTGCGGCTGGAGGGGCCTCGGCTTGAGGAGGATCTGGGAGGGCGGGGGCTCAGTCCTGGCCACCAGGTGTGAGGGGTCGGGTGCGGAGCCCTGTGTCAGACGCGGCGGTGAAGGCTGTAGCCCTGCTCTCCGGGATGGGGGTGGTACTCTCACCGCACCCTGCCCCAAGCCGCAGGGAGCCCCTGGCGCCCCTGGCGCCCGGGACCCGCCCTGGCTGGAGCCCTGCGGTTTCCGGGAGCTCACGGTCGGCTCTGCGCCCCTCCACCGCCGGGCCTGGGCCTGGGCCAGGGACTGGCTGGGGCGGGACTGCGGCCTCGGGGCGCTGGGTCCCTGCCCCTGCCGTGCACTGCGCGGCTCCCCGCGCCGCAGCTGGGCACCAGCAGCACCACGGACCGCCCCTGTGCTCGCCCGACGGCGCCCCGCGGCGCTTTAAGAGACGGCCTGGCAGCCCAGCCCCAGCCGCCCAGACCGGCGAGACCAGCCTGCGGGAGCAGCCCCATGGCGGGTAAGCGAGCCTCGCCTCCCCAGCCCAGCCCCGGCCCCTCTGCGACCCTTCCAGCACTTGCCTCCGCCCCGCCGCCCCCGCTGGGGTGCAGCGCCTGCCCTGCCCGGCCTCGGCGCGCTCTTGGAGGGGCACTGGGATGGAGTAGACGCTGAGGCCCGCTCTTCGCGGTCAGTTGCGGCTTAGGAGGTGTGGGGGGTCCGGCCTTCTCACCACCCCACCCAGTGCAGATCCCTGAGACCTGAATGCCCCGCGGCCGCACGTCACCCTAAGGGAGGCACCTTTTTGGCCCGCCCCAGGTGGCCAGCGGTTGGAACCCAGCGTCTGAGCACCCCCGGGGCGAAGCCTCCTAGGTCCCGCAAATGCGGACGTGTGAGGGCCAGCAGCAATGGGGCCTTGCCCCCTCTTCCTCCCCACCTCGTCCACCGCGTCGCACCAACTCCCCTAAGCGCGTGCTCACCTTGATAGAGGGCTAGGGGAGGGAGCGGGTGTTAGAGAAGAGTCCAGCCTTGCAGCAGGTTCCAGGGCCCCAGAGGGTAGAGGTTTGATTGCAGACCAGGGGGAAGGTACCTTTCAGGGCTTTCCTTAACTGACTGCGTCCACACCCCAGCTCCCCTCCTGGCCTCAACAGGAGCCCAGGGGATATGGAGGTTCTGGTGAGGGCAGGTTTGATTTCTACTCAGAAGCGCAAGGAAATGGCTTCTTTAAGCCAGAATCCCAAGGGCAGGGCCAGCTGTTTTCCAAGGAAAACTAGAAGGTTCTGCCCAGGGCTCTCAGACCCTGGGGTAAACGGCTTCTCCTCTGAGAGCTGGCGGAACCTAGCCAGCAGCATCCCTCCCGGAACCCATCCCCAGCAGGCCTGCTCCTATCACTCCTGAGATCAAACCCAGAGGCAGGGTTGCTGCCCTAGTTCTGCCCCAGCAGGCCAGGGCTGTGAGGGAGAGTGGCCTTCCCAGGCAGGCATCATAGTACTGGTGGTCTCTGCCCCCAGAGCAGCTGGCCCTGGTGATTGGGGGCACCATCGGGGGGCTGCTGCTGCTGCTGTTGATCGGGGCAAGCTGCTGTCTGTGGAGAAGGTTCTGTGCCACCCTCACCTATGAGGAGCTGCCTGGGACACCAGCCATGGCCACCACAGCTGCCTCCAGTGGGCAGCGGGACAGGCCCTGCCAGCCGCATGCTAGGACCCAACTGAGCAGGTGAGGCAGGATGTGGGGCCAAGTGCGCCCCTGGAATTTCCCTCAGGGTGGGGTCGAAAAGGAAAGTTCTGTTTATGGGGGTGCCTCTTCTATGCTGCTTCGGTGCTGGGAGCTATCACAAAGAAACCCCAGAAACCTCACATCAGCTATTAGGCAGGTGTTATGAAACCCATGTTCCAGGTGAGGAATCTGAGGCTCAGTGCACATAAGCAACAGGTCCAGAGAACACAATTAGTAAGTGGCAGAACAGGAATCCAAACCCAGACTGGCTGACACTGTCAGGTGCTGTGTTCCTTCTCCAAATCCCACTGCTGTGTGTGTGTGTGTGTGTGTGTGTGCGTGTGTGTGTGTGTGTTGCCTGGTATGGGCCCAGAAAATGGTGCCCTGGCCTCCTCCTGGCTCCCGATGGCTTTTCTTCCTCCAGCCCCTGGTGCTCAACCGTCCTGGCTGAGCGCTCTGAGACCACACCATTCACTTGCCACCTACATGTTGTCTCCCTGACTCTGGACAGGCCACCAGCTGTGCCATTCGTGGTGCCCCCAACCCTTCAAGGCCGAGATTGGGTGCCCCTGCACAGTGGAGAGTGGGCCGATGCCCCATGGGACCCCTGCCCGGCATCAGAGCTGCTGCCTCACACCTCCAGCGGCGGCCTTGGTGAGTGTCCTTGCCAGGGCTGCCCAGAGGTCAGGGTCTGCTCGGGTGGCCCCATCTGCTTTCACCAGCTTGGCTCCGGAACACAACCTGAACCAGCCAGGGATGCCAGGGACCACCCAGGGACCACTCTTTCTGGGTGCTTTCATTTATGAAGTGCTTGCTGCACCCCATGAGGGTGAGATATGGCCTTGGGTGCTGATTTGGAGTGAGACCTCACCATGACTCTGAGGGGGAGGAATTATCACCCCATTTTACATAGTCTTAACTGAGGCTGTAAGCAACAGATTGGAATTGGAACCCAGGCACGCCATGTACAGAACTTGTGCTGGGTCCCACTCTAGGATGATGGGTTGGTTGACCAAGAGGACAGAATGGTAGGGGCTGCAAACACAGCTTTCTGCCACCTCTTTGCCCTGAAGATCTACCAAGAGACCATCACAGGAACCACCCAATAATCACCTTGGCCCTTCTAATTTGAAGAGGAAGAAGAAAGGCAATGTTTTATCGCTGAGTCATTCCCTAGACGCCATGGAAGGGGGCTAGGCCAGGTGATGGGCACTGTGTCCTTGAAACAGGTCCTGACCTCCAAGGATGGGGGCCAATCCCAGGGGGCAGGACTCTGCTGGATCCCCAGCCTGGCCATGCAATGCCTTCATGGTGAGAAGGCTTCTTGGAGGAGCTGCACCAGAGAGAGGGGATGTGTTTAGCCTGGTGAGGAGAGTGGGGCAGATGTGGTCAGGCTAGCTGAGGCTCAGCAGAGACGGATGGGCCAGGATGGGGATGGGTGCCCAGAGCTTGCCACTGTCTCCCATGCCCCTGCCTTCCTCTGGCCTGCCAGCCCTCCCACCCTCTGTCATAGGAGATGCATGTATGGTGGGGGCCATCAACCCAGAGCTGTACAAGTTCCCAGAGGACAAAAGTGAGACCGACTTCCCCGACGGCTGCCTGGGGCGGCTGTGGTTCTCGGTGGAATATGAGCAGGAGGCTGAGCGGCTGCTGGTGGGCTTGATCAAGGCACAGCACCTGCAAGCCCCCTCGGAGACCTGCAGCCCCCTGGTGAAGCTCTACCTGCTGCCCGATGAGCGGCGCTTCCTCCAATCCAAGACCAAACGCAAAACCTCCAACCCGCAGTTTGACGAGCACTTCATCTTTCAGGTACAGCTTCTGGAGCAGGCAGGGTCTGGTGCCCTCCGCGTTGCTGGGAAGGTGCAGACCTACAGGAGAGCCCAGCCTCCTGTACCAGCCAGGGCTCTGCAGCCCCCGGGACCCTTGATGCCACCAGCTCTGCTTTACCTAGTCTGCTAGGTTAAGGCCTATAGGAGCTGATCCCTGATAGAGGGGCAGGGGAGAGATTTGGTGAGTGGTGACCAGAAGCCTGGGCTTCCCTGTCCTGACTACCTGGAAGAGAGTGGGTGAAAACACAATTTTAGAGCAACTACTGAATGCCAGGCCCTGGCCTATGGGGCTCAGGGGAATTATCCCAAAGGCCTGAAGCACTATGGGGTTTCTGGCAAGTTTATCCAAGGAAGGCAAAAGACAGGCCTCAGCGTGAATGCAGAAGCTTCCTGTGCTGTCAGAGGCCAGCGCGGGGCCCGAGTGCCCTCACAGGGTAGGTGTGGTGCCTTGCTGCACTCTGGGCTGGCCGGCTTAGGGTCTGGAGGTGGAGAGTCTATTGGGGCACCGAGCCAGTTTCACAGGGGCCTGGGAGCCTTAGCAGGTGACTGGGGGCCCTTAGGGGAAGGAGTCATCGAGACCTGCCAAGAGGCCTTGGACAAACATGTTCTCAAGAGCTGGGTGGCAAGCTAGCCAAGAGGTGAGGTTCAGCCAGTCAGCTTTCAGGAGGAGTGTGACTGCGGAGGCCAGGGCCATCACTTGTGCCTTCCGCCCTGGCTGAGAGCTGGGAAGAGGGGTGCCATCGGGCCTGGTCCCGGGCCGTCTTTCTGAGGCCAGGGCTGTGAGAATTCACAGGTGAATCGCTCTTCTCAAGACATCAGAATCCAAGGCTGCAGCCTTGCTGACGTGCGACACGTCATGCTTGCAGGCTAATTTTTCTTAGCTCATCACTTCCCCACTCTATCTCGCCCCAGCTTGATCCAATCCCTCTGTGGAAAAGGGAGAAGGGGAAAGAAAAGAAAATCAATATTAATGGGCCATCTGCTGGAGGTCAGACACTGTGATTGGGGTTTTACAACCAGAGAGGAAGACCCATAATCCCCATTTCACAGGCGAGGAGGCCAAATCTCAGGGAGGAGAGAGCTGGCATGCCCAGCTCTGACAGCAGAGACAGGCCGGTGCCCTGGGCTCCTGGGCCTTTGCTACAGTGCAGGGTGGTGGCGGAGCCACACTCACCGTGCAGCCATGTCACTTGGTGCTCCGGTTAAACGGCAGATTCCAATTCATGAATCTGGGCTGGGGCCCAAGATCCTGCATTTCTAACAGGGCTCCAAGTGGTGGTAGACGCTACAGGTCCTCGGACCACACTCTGTGTACCAAGGTCCTGGCACCTACCCCCACTTTCCAGGGGTACACGGCTCTGCTGCTGAGAAGGGTCCCCTGAAAATGCCTAGGTTTGGGGGATGTGGGTCCCTGGTTGAGACACCCGTTCCCAAAAGCACCCATGTCCAGAATAACAAGTCACACCATCCCATCCCCTACCCCCACGCCTGACTCTGGCTGGTGTCCTTGTCCCCCCCAGGTGTCCAGCAAGACCATCACCCAGAGGGTGCTGAAGTTCTCCGTCTACCACGTGGACAGGCAGAGGAAGCACCAGCTCCTGGGCCAGGTGCTCTTCCCCTTGAAGAATGAGACCCTAGTGGGGGACTGCCGGCGTGTCATCTGGAGAGACCTGGAGGCTGAGAGCCTGGAGGTATGGTCAAGGTCACCATGCCTATGCCACTGAGCATCAGCTGGCAGGTGTGCACAGGGCCCAGCACCTGCTGGCGGCATCAGCCCTCAGCATCCTGCACACCACCCTACAACAGTGACTCAGGGAGGAGGGCCCAGGCCCCAAGCAGCATGGGACAGGTGGGAACGGACCTGCCCCTGGGCAGGGAGGGCCTGCTTGAGGTCCTGTTGTCACACTGGCCATCAGACCCCCTGGAGCAACCTGAAATATCCACATTTGGATTCTTATCTAGGTTAGACAGCTGTGAGAGATGACACCACAAATGGTCCAGCCCAGGGAAATGTTTCCTCCAGCCCACCACCCCCAGGAAGGCCCCAGCTGGCTCAGACCTGGGTGTGACTCCTTAGCTGTGGTCCACAGGACTGCACAAGCCCCTTAAACTCTCCAGACCACAGTTGCCCCATCCTTAAAATGGCAGTGGAACTCAAAGGGGACCATGCGGGTGTGTCGCATGGGCCGCTAGGAGGAAGCGGGAGGCTCTCTGGGGGTTCTGTGACCCCTTCAGCACTTGCCAGAGTAACAGGATGGGGTGCTTCCATCTTGGCCTCCCCAGCCCCCCTCGGAGTTTGGCGACCTCCAGTTCTGCCTCAGCTACAACGACTACCTGAGCCGCCTGACGGTGGTTGTGCTGCGTGCCAAGGGCCTCCGGCTCCAGGAGGACAGAGGCATTGTCAGTGAGTTCCTCCCTTTCCTCCTGGGGAAGGTCCCACCCACCGAGCTTACAGCCTGGGGCTACAGTCCAACCTCATCCCTGACCATCCAGTTTCTGCTTGCATACACCTATCATGGAGTGCTCACTACCTCACAAGACGTGCTGTCCCTCGGTCGACAGTTCTGGTGCAGGAAGCCTCTTCCTGTGTTGAACCCAAAGCTGCATCTCCTTGGCCTCCCCTACGGAGGGTTCTAACCCAGCCGCAATACCAGGCCCTGCCCCTCCTGTTTCCCGAGGCAGCGTCTTGGCTCTTTGAACTGTCCTGCCTGCCTCCACCTCCACCTTTCCATCAGCGGCATGGGTCCAGTTCCTCCAGGGTGAGGCCCGCACCTCCCTCCCCACAGGGGAAGAGCCCCCGACTCAATGGGCACTGATGCTTGGCCTCCCAGAATACAGGAGCTGCAGAAGGGGAGGCCTTGGTTCACCCCACATGTCCCACCCCATTTGGGCTCACCCCACACATCCCACCCATCCCAGTGAGGTGGTGGTGGTCAGCCACCTGTTTGTGTTCACATCTGGGGTCACCGTAAGCCAGGCAGGATCCAGACCTTCCACTGTGACTCTGACCCTCACCCACCAAATCTTAGCCCTCTGTACAAGGTGTTTAAGGGGCCCCAGGGGGCCTGGGGGCCCAGTGAGCAGCCCCCCAACAGGGAGGGACAGGCTTGCGGTGCTAGGCTCTGGTAAACCAGGGCCTGCAGGAGCCGTGGGTACTTTCCTGATGCAAAGAGGAAGGAAAAGGAAGGGAGCGGAGCCCCGCCTGGGCCGCAGGGCAGTGCACTCCTCAGCCGGCTTCCTCTGGTCACGCCGGCGGGGCCGCAGCACTGTGTGAGGGGTGGGGCCCTGGCACCTAGCTTGGGCACGTGCCCTCCTAGCCGGACCTCCCACAGGCAGGGGCTCTGCTCCCACCTGCCTCTGCCAGCCCACTAGTGCTCACCGTTCCCTAGGTGTGTTTGTCAAAGTGTCTCTGATGAACCACAACAAGTTTGTCAAGTGCAAGAAGACTTCAGCTGTGCTGGGCTCCATCAACCCTGTGTACAATGAGACCTTCAGCTTCAAGGCCGATGCCACCGAGCTGGATACCGCTAGCCTCAGCCTGACTGTGGTGCAGAACATGGAAGGGGACAGTAAGGCCACACCCTACCCTGGGCTGCTGGGATGGGGACCACGAGGGGCTGCCGAGTGTTCAGGCAGAGTGAGTGCCTCCTGTCCTGACCTCAGAAGGAGCCGTACGAGCTCCCTCCCTGGTTAAGGAAACTAGTGCTCAGAAAGGCTGAAATATTGCCCAAGGCCTGGGTTTCAGGCCCAGCTTTAGTCCAGTTGAGCTCTGTCTGTGGCACCCTAGAAACAGGTTAAGCAGCCGGGCATGCTGGCTCACATCTGTAATCCCAGCACCTTGGGAGGCCAAGGTGGGTGGATCACTTGAGCTCAGGAGTTCAAGACCAGCCTGGCCAACATGGTGAAACGCTCATCTCTACTAAAAATACAATAATTAGCTGGGCGTGGTGGCACACCCCTGTAATCCCAGCTACTTGGGAGGTTGAGGTGGGAGGATCTCTTGAACCCAGGAGGCGAGGCTGCTGAATCTGTCAAAAAAAAAAAAAAAAAAAAAAAGGGCCGGGCACGGTGGCTCACACCTGTAATCCCAGCACTTTGGGAGGCCGAGGTAGGCAGATCACGAGGTCAGGAGATCGAGACCATCCTGGCTAACACAGTGAAACCACGTCTCTACTAAAAATACAAAAAATTAGCTGGGTGTGGTGGCTGGCGCCTGTAGTCCCAGCTACTTGGGAGGCTGAGGCAGGAGAATGGCATGAGCCTGGGAGGCGGAGCTTGCAGTGAGCCGAGATCGCACCACTGCATTCCAGCCTGGGCAACAGAGCGAGACTTCGTCTCAAAAAAAAAAAAAGAGGTTGGCTGGGTGCGGTGGCTCACGCCTATAATCCTAGCACTTTGGGAGACCGAGAGGGGTGGATTACGACATCAAGAGATCAAGACCATCCTGGCCAACATAGTAAAATTCTGTCTGTACTAAAAATACAAAAGTTAGCTAGGCGTGGTGGTGCACGCCTGTAGGCCCAACTACTCGGGAGGCTGAAGCAGAAGAATCACTTGAACCCGGGAGGCAGAGGTTGCAGTGAGCCAAGATCTTGCAACTGCACTCCAGCCTGTCCACAGAGCGAGACTCTGTCAAAAAAAAAAAAAAGAAAAGAAAAGAAAAAGAAAGAGGTTAAGCAATGGCCTCTGCTGCCCTCTCCTGGAGCAAATCACCCGAGAGAGTGGGAGGGGCCAGGCCTGCCACCAGCCCAGGGACCTGGTGCTCTGACCTTCCTCGTGCCCTCCAGATGAGACTTTGGGGTTCTGGGCGAGTTCTGTCAGCCAGCTCCCACACTGCCCCACACCCCAGCACCCACTGCCACTCTGGGGAAACAGAGCCATCAGGCCGTGGCTGGCCACATGGCCTGGACTTAAGACCCTTCTCCACGGTGGCCAGTGAATGTTACTGCTGAATGTACTCTCGGATGGCCGAGGCCTTCTTTCTAGAGGGGCCCTTTCCTCCCTCAGCTCTTTGGCATAAGGTAGACTTAATACGGCCCCACAGAAGGGTGTGGGGCAGAGCTGGTGGCCCTCAAGGAGAGAGTCTTTCAGGGCTCTCCTTCCTCCCAATCTCCCAGGGGGAGAAGCAGCCCTTCCAGCTGCAGAGCAAAGGCAGGGCCCCTTTGGGGCCTGTCAGCTCCCACTCAGAGAGGAGGGGAGTTGCTACTTCCTCCTGGGGAGGAGGAGGGAGGAAAGGAGGTCACTGGGGACGGGGCTTCTGTGCTCAGGAGCACACCGGTGCTCTCCCTCCCCTGCAGAGAGCCAGCAGCTGGGCCGAGTGGTGGTGGGCCCCTACATGTACACCCGCGGCAGAGAGCTGGAGCACTGGGACGAGATGCTCAGCAAGCCCAAGGAGCTGGTGAAGCGCTGGCATGCGCTCTGCCGCACCACGGAGCCCTGACCCTTCGCCCAGCACCGCGGTTCCGCTTTGGGAGCCGACCATCCTCGCAGTTGCATGTGACAGCCACAGCCACACGCATGGACGTTTCATCCAACAGCTCCCCGAGCTGCCAGCCAGCCCGAGCCAGGAGGACGTGAGTGCTGATATGCAGGAGAGAAGAGGGGACAAAGAAGCCCTGGCCCGGTCAGCGGCTCTGGCCATACAGCCTTCCGACACACTCCCTCCTCCTTATCTGCGGGGCTGCCTGGGCTCGGAATCCCGGCTCCTGGTCCTCACAGCCCTGATTTGGACCAGAATCTCAGATGCTCAGAAGAAAGATCCTGTTTAGTGATGACCCAGCTCTACCTGCTGAATGGACCTGCAGGGTAAACTTGGGTGCCTCCATCTGGGAAAGCTGATGATGTGTTCATGCAGTCGATGACCCTCACTGCTTTTTCAGCCAGGGTTTCTCTGCCTTCTGCCTGGCAGAGAAAACACACTGCTATGGGGAAAATCACAGGGAGGGCGCTGTGACCAGCGCACTCAGGCACCAAGTGTCGGCATGGCTCACTGTGCTGGGTGAAGGCCTCCCCGAGCATTAGGTCCTCCACGGGGCTGTGTCAAATGCCCTCCCACATTGTATCAAGTCTGCCCATGGCCCACCCTCCCCACAGTCCAAAACCACACAGCCCTGGTTCTCCAGCTGTTCTGCTGCTGTTTCTGTGCTCTCCCTGATTAAGAGCATTCAGTTCCTGGGCTCTCCCTTTGAGCAGGAAATGGTGAAAGCATGTGGCTATGGTATAGCCCACAGGGCTGAGATTGCTGTGTTGCAGTATTGATGTAAAATTTGTTAAGAAGGAAGTACCCACAGATCACTGCCATCAACTCCCCAGAAGTTGCACTCAAGCTAGTGAGCAGCCCTTGTGCTTGTCACAGTTACTGTAACAGGTAGTGTGTATTTGCACCTGGCATCGTGCAGCCTGCACGTCAACACGTTGTTTTGTGTAACTAGAACAGCACATGGAACCACTATCTCTTTCTCTTTTTTCCTTCTTTTTCTTTTTTTTTTTTATTTTAATTTTTTGAGACAGAGTTTCCCTCTTGTCACCCAGGCTGGAGTGCAATGGCGTGATCTCGGCTCACTGCACCCTCCACCTCCCAGGTTCAAGCGATTCTCCTGCCTCAGCCTCCCAAGTAGCTGGGATTACTGGCGCCCGCCACCATGCCTGGCTAATTTTTTTTATTTTTAGTAGAGACGGAATTTTACCATGTTGGCTAGGCTGGTCTCAAATTCCTGGCCTCAGGTGATCCACCTGCCTCAGCCTCCCAAAGTGCTGGGATTACAGGCATGAGTCACCGCACCCAGCCCGACCAGTATCTTTTTCTTATGCAGTGAAACAACTTTAGCAAAAGAGGCAATGAATGTTATACTGAGTTTCTACCTCTTTAACTCCACCTCCAATTTCTGTCAATCTACAAACACAAGTGTCGCCTCGCAGTGTTTCGTATGAACAGAATATCTTGTGTTTGCTTTTTGTCACTTATTTCACTTGCACATTTTTTGTTTGTTTGTTTGTTTGTTTGTTTGTTTTTTGAGATGGAGTCTTGCTCTGTCGCCCAGGCTGGAGTGCGGTGGCGCGATCTAGGCTTACTGCAAGCTCCGCCTCCCGGGTTTACTTACACCACTGTCCTGCCTCAGCCTCCGGAGTAGCTGGGACTACAGACACCTGCCACCACGCCCTGCTAATTTTTTGTATTTTCAAGTAGAGACGGGGTTTCACTGTGTTAGCCAGGATGGTCTCGATCTCCTGACCTCATGATCTACCCGCCTCGGCCTCCCAAAGTGCTGGGATTACAGGCGTGAGCCACCACGCCCGGCCCACTTGCACATTTTCAAAGTAGTCCGCAAAGCTGTAGTTTCTAATAGCTTCATAGCTCACATGTAATAGGGGTTCTCTGTGTGTTTATAGAGCAGGCTACTACAGTGGAACTGTTTCTGTTTCATCTGACATCCGGATAGATGCCAGCCACCCCCACATTCCAAGGTGAGATTTCTGACTAGCAGTGACTTTTCTAGGGCCGCTTGGAAAAGTTGATAAGTATCCTTTTCTGCAGGACAGAGTAGACTGGTATCTCTGACTCATCCCTGAAAAATCTAAATGGCAAGAGACTAGCTGGCTCTCTGCTCTGATGGGGAGGAGGTTGTTGTTTGGGCTGTTCTCTACAGACATAGTCAGGGCAAAAAGCATACGCATGCTTCCCATGGACCAGAGAAACCTGGCCTGGGTTGTCTCAAATCCTGTCCACAAGGCAACTCCAGAAGAAAGAAGCCCTTTACATTTCCATAAAACACTTTAGAATCAGCTAGTCAATTTCCACAAAATAAAGTGCTAGAATTTGATTGGATTTAATTGATTATGTAGAACAATTTGGGGGCCATTTGACATCATTAAAATATTCAATCTTCCTATTCATTAACATGGTATATCTCTTCACTTTAAGTCTTTTGTATGTTTCTCAGAACTATTTTTGTGGTTTTCAGTAAAGTGTTCTTGCACATCCTTCAATAGATTTATTCTTAGACGTTTTATATTTGTTTATGGCTAGTATATACAGATTCTGTTGCTACAAAACTATGTTGACCTTGTTATCCAGTGAGAGGCTTTGTGACATTCATTTAAATTGTAATAATTTGCAGATTATTTTTGTATAATCATGTCCTCTGTGAATGACAGTTTTATTTCTTCCTTTCTTAATCTTTATGCCTTATTTAGCTCTTGCCAAACTGCAGTGGCTGAGCAATTGGACAAGATAAAGAAATAAAAGTGATCCAGATCATAAAGAAAGAAGTAAAACTATATCTGCACATGACATAATCTTGTCTATGGAAAATCCTAAGGAATCCACACACAAAAAAACTACTAGAGCTAATAAGTTTGGCAAGGTTGCAAGATATAAAATTGGTATACAAATTGCAGTGGCTAGGACCTCCAGCAGAATGCTGACTATAAGTAGTGATAGTGGGTATTCTTGTCCATCCTCAATCTCAGGGGTGGTGGGTGTGGCATGTGGAGAGTTGTCAATATTCACCATGAAGTTTGATGGTTGTTATAGGATTTTTAATGTACTCATTAACATATATTCTCAAGCTGTTAAAAAGATTTTTTTAATTACAAATAAGGTTAAATTTCTCTCAAATACTTACTCTGCACCTTTTGAAATAATTTTATTTTTCTCCTTTATTCTTTGGATGTGATGACTTATACTAATTGACTGTTGAATGTCAAACCAAACTTAACATTCTTGTAATAGAAACCAGCAGGGTGTGTACACTTTTGTGTGTGTGTGCAGGTTTATACACATAAACACAATAATACTTGGACTTATTTATTTAAAATTTAGATTTATTAGAGGGAGCATGGCCATAAAATAAAATAAAATAAAATTTAGATTTAAGTCGAGCTCAGTGGCTCACATCTATTATCCCCGCACTTTGGAAGGCCAAGGCAGGTAGATTGTCTAAGCTCAGGAATTTGAGACCAACGTGGTGAAACTCGGTCTCTACAAAAACCACAAAAATTAGCCAGGTATGGTGTCACATGCCTGTTGTCCCAGCTACTTGGAGGGCTGGGGCAGGAGTATTGCGTGAGCCCGGGAGGTTAAGGCTGAAGTGAGTCATGTTCACGCCACTGCACTACAGCTTGGATAACAAAGCGAGACTCTGTCTCCAAAAATAAAATAAGTAAATAAATAAATAAATAAAATTTAGATCAATTTGCTGTTATATTTTTATATAAACTATGTTTATGACATAAGTATAAACAAAAAAATAAAATAAGTAAATAAATAAATAAAATTTAGATTAATTTGCTGTTATATTTTTATATAAGCTATGTTTATGACAGACTTTCCTATAATATTCTTATCATAATGTTCTTGCACTTGAAAGAATGTGCATTCTGCAGTTGTGTGCAGGTGTTATGTGTATTTCAACTGGGTCAAGTTTGTTAATCAGGTTGGTCAAATTATCTACGTCTTTACTGATATTTTTGTCTGTTTTTCTATAAATTACTGAGAGAGGATAAAGCCTGCCACTGTTATTATGAATTTGTTTATTTCTCCTTTGAGTTTTGTTAGTTTTTGTTTTATGCATTTAGAGGTTGTGTTATTAGGCTCATACCCATTTAAAATTGATGTTTTCTGGTAGAGTGAACCTTTATTATGTGAAATGGCTTTCTCTACCACTCACAATGGTATTTTTTTCACTTTCCCCCTTATTTTTGAATTTTCAATGTTCTTATAATGATGTCATGTCTCTTGAATAGAGTTGTTTTAATCAAGTCTGTCAAATTTTGTCTTTTGTGTATTTCGTGAATTTACATTTATTGTAATTACTGATATAGTTGTGTTCATAAATACCATCTTACTACTTGTTTCCATTTGTCTTACCCATTTTTGTTTTTATTTTTTCTTTTCTGTTGCTTTCTTTCTGATTATTTTTTTAATTCCGTTTCCCCCCCTACCATTGGTTTTACTTACACATTCTTTTATAATTTCTTTAGTGGTTTCCTCCACAGATTACAACTTCTGTACATTATTATAATCTAATACAAATTTTACTTTTTATTGTTTCCCAGACAATGCTATGATCTCACAATACTCAATCTCTATTTACCTCCATTCTACTCTTGCATGTATATTATTATTACTCATTTTAATTTCACATATATTTTACACCTAACGAGACATTATTATTATTGCTATGTGCAGTCAATATTCATTTGTATTCACCCACATATTCACTCTGTTTTTTTTTTATTATTTCCTGCATTTCTGTGATTCTATCATAGATCAGTTTTCTTCTACCTGAAGAATTCCCTTTAGTATTTTTTGTGTATGCACATCTGCTGGCAGCAAATTTTCTCAGGTTTTTTTGTGTTTTTTTGTTTGCTTGTTTTTGAGACAGGGTCTCACTCTGTCGCCCAGGCTGGAGTGCAGTGGCATGATCATGGTTCACTGTAGCCTCAACCTCCTAGGTTCAAGCAGTCCTCCCACCTCAGCCTCCCGAGTAGCGGGACTACAGGCAGGCACCACCATACCTGGCTAATTCTTTTGTATTTTTTGTAGAGAAGGGATTTCACCATGTTGCTCAGGCTGGTCTCAAACTCCAGAGCTCAAACAGTCTGCCTGCTTTGACCTCCCAAAGGACTGGGATTACAGGCCACCTCACCCAGCCTTTCTCAGTTTTTGAATAGAAACATCTATTTCAAATTCATTTTTAAGTATATTTTGTGAATATAGGATTACAGGTTGACACTTTTTTCTTTGAGGAACTTCAGAATGGCACTCCATTATCTTCTCACTTCCATCATTTCTGTTGACAAGTGATTTTCAGTGCTATTGTTTCTCCTTTGAGAGTAATGTGTCAGTAACATGCACTGGCTCACGCCCGTCATCCCAGCACCCTTGAGCCCAGGAGTTCAAAACCAGCCCAGGCAACAGAGCAAGATCCCCCCCCTCTACAAAAGAAAACGACAGGAGGGAGGCAGGAAGGAGGAGAGAGGGAGGGAGGGGAAAAGAAAAAAGAAAAGAAGAAATGTGTCCCTCCTACCTGCCTCTAGCTGCTTTTAATGTTTTTTCCTTGTCTTTCATTTGCAGCAGTTTAAGTATAGTGTGCCTGGGTCGGGTGCGGTGGCTCACGCCTATAATCCCAGCACTTTGGGAGGCCAAGGCCAGTGGATCACCTGAGGTCAGAAGTTTGAGACCAACCTGGCCAACATGGTGAAACCCCGTCTCCACTAAAAAATCCAAAAATTAGCCAGGCATGGTGGCGCGTGCCTGTAATCCCAGCTATTCGGGAGACTGAGGCAGGAGAATCGCTTGACCTTGGGGAGGCAGAGGTTGCAGTGAGCTGAGATCGCGCGCCACCGTACTCCAGCCTGGGTGACAAAGAAAAACTCCGTCTCAAAAAATAATAATAAAAAAAAAGTATAGTGTGCCTGGATGCAGTTTTGTTTTTATTTATCCTGCTTGGGGATCATAAAGCTTTATCAGTTTTGGAAAGTTCTCAGCCTATATTTATTTAACTGTTCCTTCTGCCCCATCTTCCTCCCTTCTAAGACTCCAGTTACATATGTGTTAGGCCTGTTCACCACTTCCCACAAGTATCTTATGTTCTTTGCTGTATTTTCCATACTCTTTGTCTCTGTTCTTCAGCTTAGAGTTTTTATTCTGTCCTATATTACAGTTCAAAGAATGTTCCTTCTGCTAAATCTAATTGTAGTTAACCCATATGCTAAGTAGTTAATTTCAATTATTGTATTTTTAAGTTTTAAATTTCCATTTCATTCTTTCTTGTAGATTCCAGTTCTTTGATGAAAGTCTCTATTCCACCCATCAAGTCTGTGTCTGATAACACCAATATCTGGGTCATTAGTGGCTCCGTTTTGTTGTGTCTGTTTTCCCCTCCTTCCTGTTTTGTGGTGTGTTTGATCACTTATTGTTGAATGCTAACCATTATAATAAATTTTAGTGGCTCCAGGAAACATGATCTGAAAACAATGTCTGTCTCAAGGGAGGGTTTACCATGTCATCTGATAGACAGAGTGGGAAGATTTTACCTTAATCCAATGGTACCGAACTGACTAGAGTCTATGTTGCAGTTTTTGGAAGGCTTCATCTCCATCTCTGGTTTGCCCGTCTATCTAGAGTGTGGTCCTCCAAGGATTCCAACTGAGTGTCTGATGTGATTATTAGGCTTCTTTTCCTTGGTGGGTCCTGAACTCCAACTTTTATCTCATTAATATGACACTGCCAAAACCTGCTGCTTTTCATAGCCTTTCTGCATAGCTTAACTCAGCAGATGCCTCAAGGGGAAAGTGTTCCTTTTCTGTGTCTCCCTTCTACATGATATCTTGGCCCCTTCAGTTCCAGCTGCCTTGACAACCTCAGTCTCCATTTCTTGTCTCTCCAGCTGAAGACTCTGCTGCCTTTGCTGCCTCTTAGCTATGGCCGTCTGCCCAAATGCTCGGCCTCTTAGCTAAAATCAGCACGTTTCCTGAAGGGAAAAGTAGTTCACAGAGGGCCAGCTTGCCTCCTTGTGTTTTTCTTCTTTTGAGATTATGACCCTTCAAATGTTTGTTAACTGGGAAGCTTTCCAAAAACTTTTTAAAAAAGTTTTCTGTGTTTTATTCAGCCTTTCCAGTTGTTCTTGGAATGAGTGTTGGTCTGCCTCAAGCAGAAAAAAAATTCTCAGAATTCTTTTCTCAGAAAAAGGATTCTCAGCAGAGAGTGATTTTATACAGGGAATGGGATTAAACAATTCTTGGGAAAGCTGGTGAAGCCAACGAGGGAACAGTTACTTTTATCAGTGTGCAATTTTTTTGCTATAATGGTGCATAACAACTAATCACAACATGTCAATGCCATACTTAAATAAGCACTCATTTCTAACACATCTGTGGGTTGGCTGGAGGTGGTCTGAGCTAGGGTAGGCAACTCACTTTTTTTTTTTTTTTTTAGGGTTTCACTCTTGTTGCCCAGGCTGGAGTGCAGTGGCGCCATCTCAGCTCACTGCAACCTCCGCCTCCCAGGTTCAAGTGATTCTCCTGCCTCAGTCTCCTGAGTAGCTGGGATTACAGGCATGCGCTACCACGCCCGGCTAATTTTGTCTGCCTTCCTTCCTTTCTTTCCTTTCTTTCTTTCAACGGAGTTTTGCTCTTGTTGCCCAGGCTGGAGTGCAATGGCATGATCTCGGCTCACCGCAACCTCTGCCTCCCAGGTTCAAGCGATTCTCCTGCCTCAGCCTCCCAAGTAGCTGGGATTACAGGCATGTGCCACCACGCCCGGCTACTTTTGTATTTTTAGTAGAAACGGGGTTTCTCCATGTTGGCCAGGCTGATCTCGAACTCCCGACCTCAGGTAATCCGCCTGCCTCGGCCTCCCAAAGTGCTGAGATTACAGGCGTGAGCCACTGCGCCAGGCCTAATTTTGTATTTTTTAGTAGAAACGGGGGTTTCTCCATGTTGGTCAGGCTCGTCTCGAACTCCGGACCTCAGGTGATCTGCCTGTCTCGGCCTCCCAAAGTGCTGGGATTACAGGTGTGAGCCACTGCGCTGGGCCTGGCAACTCACTTTCAAGCTGGCTGGGCTTGGCTCCTCACATTTGTGCATTCTGAACACAGGCTGCAGGGACAGCTGCTACCCCCAGGGAAAGCTCTTTTCATGGTGAAGGCAGAAGCATAAAAAGGCAAGCTGCATTGTGCAGATGCATATCTGTGTCTCTCCTTATGTTGTGTCATCCAATATCCCATTGGCCAAAGCACGTCACATAGCCAAGCTCCAAATCAAGGGTCAGAGAAGTAAATGATATCTTTTTCCTGAGGGGAACTGCAACACTACAGGGCAATGGACACAGCCACAGGGAGGGGTGAAGAATTCAGGTGGACAACGCAATGAACCATGCTGATGTTTCCTGGAGCTGGGATCTTCAGGAATTTGTGCTTGGCTGTGCCCATCCAGTCACCAAGGAGGAACCCCCCTACTGCAGAGCTGCTTTTGGGCCTCGATGCCATTGTTGCCAAACTGACATTCCATGATGAAAATGGACTGTAATTTGTACAGCTATTTGCCAGTTACGTTTTTGCTATTTTGCACTGTGGAAATCTTTGCCCAAATTACTGCAAGAGTCTCGAGCATCCTGCTGTCATAAGTGCAGAGTCAAAGGAAGAAAACGATGATTTTTTAAACCATCTTTCTGCTTTCTAGTCTCATCTGAGTGCCTCACATTTGGCAGAATCAACCTGGAATCCTGCTCATAAGACTATCAGGGAAATATAATTCCCAGACTTCCATTTCCAGAAAAATGTAATAAATACTTTTAAAGGGGATGGAGATGGTACCGTGTGCTAACCCCACTCTGAGACAAACCTGGGTCACAGGAACCATAGGGAAGATGTCTGCAGTAGAAGGGGACCTCGAAGTACTCAAGTACTTGGCTCACAACAGCACTATTCACATAAAGCCTGGCCTGCCCCTTGGTGACCTCCTTCCCTTACGCCTCTAGACTCTACTAGGTGATCAGAAATCCCTGCAAGCTAGTTGGGGAGGGAAGAGTGAAAGTGAAAAATGGAGAGGAAACACTGCTACCCGCCCAATGCCTGGAGCCAAATGCAAGCCTGGGCCAGGCTTGGGGGAGGAATCAAGAGGAAGCTTAAACTTAAAATGAAATCGAAAGTTTAGACTCCTACATGGGATTGGACATTTTAAATGCTGAACAGAGCCTATTTTTATAGCTAGAAGTTACAGGACACATTTTTGGTCAACTGAGAATGATCCAAAAATCATGTGAATTTTGTGATCCAGAAAGTCACAGAACATGCCCTAGATTTTATCCCAGGGGCAGGGAGGAGTGACCTGCAGAGCAAGTTTGAATTGGTAAATAGAAAACAAGAATAAAATAGTTTGCTGTTTACATTCCATAAGCCTGGCTCTTTCAACATCATGGTTATATTTCTTGGTTGAATTTAGTATGCCACTATGACGCCGGATTGTGATATTTGCCTAGGATGTTTTGTCCTAATATTTAGTATGGAATTATTTGCCCAAATCACCTGCCCCTCTCCACTTGTAGCTTTATTTCAAGAGGTATGTTTCTCAAAGTGGAGTGACTGCCAGAGTGGGAGAAAGGAGCTAGCCCTTACCGCTGTAGTAGGTCTTTGTACATCAGCTTGGTAAATCTGCAAGGCCCCCCCTCTTCCCCCCTCCCCCCCAACCCCCCCCCCACCAGGAGCCTTCCCCACGTGTGGACAAGAGAGATGGGAGGATCCGGGAGGATGTGCCGTTTCTCAGGGTCCCACAGCTAGAAGGTGATGGAGCTAGAATTTAAATCAGATTCCAAATGTCTAAAAATACTGTCATTATCACATATTACCAGAGACACCTCAAAAAAGACAGAGACGCCCTGCAGGGCCGCAACATTCCCGCAGCCTGGTAGGGTCTGTTGGGGGCCCCATGCCTGTGAGAGCCGCTCCTGCCGGTGCAGCACCGGGGAGGCTGTGCATTCAACGAGTCCTTCCTCCCTTCTCCTTTCATTCCATTGCTGCCTTCCTTCCTCCCTTCCCCCTCCGCTCCTTCCCCTAGACCTTCCTTCCGCCCTCCCTACCCCCCGCACGTCTCTCCCTACCGTCCTTCTTTCTGTGTGAATTATCTGTTCATCTCCATTGCTGCAGTACCGTCTGGCAAATCATCTGCTTGGATGCTCCTGGCTTTTTGAGAATCGGCTGGCATCAGGGTGCTGACTGACAAACTTCCCGGGGTCTGGGCACTGTGGGGACGGAGCCTGCAGACGGCGGTGTCCCCGCTAGGAGAGCCGTGGGGACGTGATTAACAGGTCAGGCCGGGCCGCGAGGTGGCGGAGGGGCCGCGCTTGCGGGCGTGGGGTGCTGGCAGAGCGCGATCCGCGGCCTGTGGCCCGCAGCCGGACCCGAGCGACAGCCTCCCGCAGCGTGTCTCCAGCGCCCTCTACTGTTCAGCATCCTCCCTGCCGCGAGGGGAGCCGCGGAAGGGGATTCTGGCTGTGCCCACAGAGCAGGTATTAAAGGATGGATTTGGAGGTGCGAGGCCATACATTGACAACCGGTATACCATGCGTCCCAAAACCTTCCCTTGTGTCCCCTTCCAAACACTACCTCTCCCTCCCCACCAAAATAACCAACGACCTGATTTTTATGGCAAACACTGCTTTTACCACCTAACCATGCAACTTCTCTCTCTCTCTCTCTCTCTCTCACACACACACACACACACACACACACATATATATGTATATATATATATGTGTATATATATATATGTATATATATATGTATATATATATATGTGTATATATATATATATGTGTATATATATATGTGTGTATATATATATATGTATATATATATATATATATGAAGCCTGTTGTGATTTTGATTGGGATTGCATTGAGATTTTTTTCTTTTTCCATTTCTTTTTTTTTTTTTTTTTTGAGACAGAGTCTTGCTCTGTCTCCCAGGCTGGAGTGCAGTGGCCTGATCTTGGCTCACTACAAGCTCCGCCTCCCGGGTTCACGCCATTCTCCTGCCTCAGCCTCCCGAGTAGCTGGGACTACAGGCGCCCGCCACCACGCCCGGCTAATTTTTTGTATTTTTTTTTTTTTTTTTTTTTTAGTAGAGACGGGGTTTCACCGTGTTAACCAGGATGGTCTCGATCTCCTGACCTCATGATCTGCCCGCCTCAGCCTCCCAAAGTGCTGGGATTACAGGCGTGAGCCACTGCGCCCGGGGTTGCATTGAGTTTATAAGTCAATTCAGGGGAGAATTGACATCTTTAAAATACTGGGTCATCTAATCAGTTCACATGGTATGTACTTCTGTTTATTTACCTCTTCTCTCATTTCTCTAAATAATATTTAAAGTGTCATGGACATCTTTCATTAAATTTTTCCCCAGACATTTGAATTTTTATGCTACCATAAATGGTATTGTTTTAAAATGTTTTATTTTCTAACTCTTGCTGGTATACAGAAATAAAATTGGTTTTCCTATTTTGACCATTTATTCAGTCATGCTAAACTCACTAATTCTAATAACTTGTCTCTGGATTCTTTTGAGTTGTTAATATACATACATAGTTTTGTATCTTAGGTCCAATCTTAGTATTTTTATTTCAACTTTTTTGCCTTATTACTCTTGTTAGGAATACCAGGAAAGTATTGAATACAAGTGATGATAATGGACATCTTTGTCTTATTTCTGTTCTCAGAAATGTTTCCACATTTCATTATTAAGGAAAATATTTACCATAGTTGTAGCTCCTTGAGATAAACAGTGTTAAAATTTTTTGGCCACTCTCCATTGATTTAATGTATAGTTTTCTAAAAATGAAATATTTTACATACTGTTTCTGAGTAAGATTTTTTACCCAATGCGCTGTAAACACCAAAATCATATATTTTTATATAGTTTTACTTGGCTTACCTTGTTTTTTTGCTTTAACTTGAAAAATATTTCCCTGTTAGGCCAGGCGCAGTGGCTCACGCCTGTAATCCCAGCACTTTGGGAGAGCGAGGCGAGAGGCTCACCTAAGCCTGGGAGTCTGAGACCAGTCTGGCCAACATGGAAAAACCCCATCTCTATTAAAAATACAAAATTAGCCAGGCATGGAGGTGCATGCCTGTAATCCCAGCTACTCGGGAGGCTGAGGCAGAAGAATTGCTTGAACCTGAGAGGTGGAGGTTGCGGTGAGCCAAGATCGTGCCATTGCACTCCAGCCTGGGCAACAAGAGCAAAACTCTGTCTCAAAAAAAAAAAAAAAAAATCCCTGTTTATTCTTTTTTTATAATCGTTTTATTGAGATATAATTCACATATATGATTCATCCATTTAAAATGTATAATTCGATGGTTATTGGAATATTTACATTTCTGTTTAATTCCCTCAATTAATTTTTACATCAACTTGTCAACTTGTATAGGCCATCCCTCAGGGACTTTGTTTATTGTTGAATTAACTCTGTATAGTACATCTTCCCAAACAGCAGGAGCACAGTAGAGTGTTCCACTACTTCTTGTCTCCTTTTATTTCCCTCATGATATTTAAATCATTTCCTTTCAATAAATTAAGCTCTTAAAGTTTTTGGTTTTATCTGTGAGCATGATTATTTTTATTTAGAATTATGTATTACTGTTATATGGTAATATAATTTTGTAAATTTGTTATGTGTAATTAATATATTACTAGCATATTTTTTATTTCCTGGGATTATTTTTCTTAATATATATTCTAGTTATTCAAAATAGTGACATTTTAATTTATTTAAGACTTCTTGTTACGATTACATACGTATTTTTATTCTCAAATCATATAGCCAGCATTTCTACTGCTGAACAAAATGCTTTGAAATATCAATAATACATATATCTGACTTTTATCTAGAATACATATGTCTGATCAGTAAAAAGACAAACAACCCAATAAGATAAATGTGCAGATGACTTGAGAGACACTTCACAAATGAAGGTATACAAATGGCCAATGAGCACATGAAAAGTTGTGCATCATTAGTCATCAGTGAAAGAGAAACCAAAACCAGGAGGTTCCACTTTACAGCCTCTAGAATGGCTACAGTGAAAATGACTGACATCTCAAATGTTGACAAGGATGTACAACAACTGGAAGCCTCCGTTTTGGCTGCGGAGAGTGTAAAACTGCACAACTTTGGAGCACTGTTTGGCAGATTCTTCTCAAGTTAAATATATACCTATCCAATAAACTGACAATCTCAGTCCTAGCTATTTAAATCCCTGCCCCAACAAAAACTTATGTCCACAACAAGACTTGTTTTAAAAATGTTTTTAGCAGCTTTATTCATAATAGTTCGAAACTGGAAAGAACTCAAATGACCTTCAACAGGCGAATGGATAATATATTCACACATTGATATATTACTGAACAATAAAAAAGAATAAACTGCTGATTCACATAAAAATATGGATAAGCCTGAAAAACATTCTTAGGTTAAAAAAAGCCAGTTACAAAGGAATATATACTGTATGATTTCATTTACATGAAGTCCAAACAAAGATCAAACTAGTGTATAGTGATAGAAATCAGAATAGTGGTTGGCCATCATGGATGGAGGAGACTGACTGGAAGTGGGGATGAATGAAAATTCTAGGGTGATGGAAATGCTCCATATCTTGTTTGGGGTTCAGTTACATGAATGTATATATTTGTTAAAACTCTAAATTGTACACTTAAGACCTGTGCATTTAACTATACGTTTTCATGCAATTTTTTTTTAAATTCCAAGAAAAAGGATCTGATTGACCCAATTTGAGTCAGGCATCCTACTGCCTTGCATAATCAGTTTTTGCCAAGGAATCCAAACAAGCAGTATAGACGTGACCTAGAGAAGGGGCACCAGAATGGGCTTGGCTCCCACCCACAAAGTTCCAATATCTCCTACATGATGTCAGTTTTGGGGACCAAAACCATATCATCTTTTTCTATTATTTGGATGTGATCTTTTTATTTATGTATGTTTGTTGTTGGTTTTATTTTTTTAGAGACAGGGTCTCGCTTTGTCATCCAGGCTGGAGTGTAGTGGCAGATCATAGCTCACTGCAGCCTCAAACTCCCGGGCTCAAGTGATCTTCCTGCCTCAGCCTCTTGAGTAGTGTGTCACCATGCCTGGCTAATTTTTTTTTTTTTTTTTTTTAGTGTTTTATAGAGACAAGATCTTGCTATGTTGTCCAGGCTGGTCTCCAATTCCTGGCCTCAAGCAATCCTCCCATCTCAGGCTCCCAAGGTACAGGGATTACGGGAGTGAGCCACCACACCGGAACTGATCTTTCTAACACAGGGAAATTGTATTCTTTAGAAGTGGAGGAATATTTCCTAGTAATTTGATCAAGTAAAAATAATTATAATAAAGAAGGTAAAATCAAGCCCTAATTCCCCATGTAGGGGAATAATATCATTTTGGTAAGATTCTTCCAGACAGTATGATTAGGATGTTACATAAATCAAACTGTGCTATATACAGTATGCAGAGAAGGAAATTCCTTAGCTTGTCTAAAGTCTGATAGTGTGAAGAATTTGCTGACCTGCTCTCCATGCCTGTCTGAGCACGAGTGAAGTGAATCAGAGAGAGATTGCAAGATGGAGAAAGGAGGTACAGTTGGAGAGAGTGGAGGGGGCAGGAAAGACCAGACAGAGCTGCATCTCCCATGAAAACAACTGTGTACATAAGATAGAGTGAGTACATAGAGTACATAGAAGAGTGAGCTCTGAAAGAACTCTCACATGGACCCCAGAAAGAGGAGTACTCAACGCCTGCTGCACAGAAGGCATCAACAGTTAAGTACTGGCTAGAAAAGCGGAGTCCATCAAAGGAGAGGACCACAGTGGTAGCTGCCTGGTAAGTACCACTGTCCCCTTTCCTTCTTTTCTCCCTCCCCAGCTCATGGAGGAGCTAGGCCTCAGGAAGCTGGGAAGGAATGGGGA